>NT_187387.1:0-41543 GCF_000001405.40 Homo sapiens
TAGTGTCTTGTCGTCCGTTTTGGCTTTCTCCCTGATTCCAGAATGCAGGTAGAGATGTAGAGACATGCTCTCAGGACAGCTGTTGAGATAAAAAAAATTCGTTGTCATTTATTCCCAAGGACAGCTGTTTGTCATTTGCATTGAAAAAGTCTCCATTCAAACTGCTGTCACATATAAAATCTATTTATATGTCTGTATTTTTCTGTTGTCTTGGCCTTTGTGGGCAGTAGTGTGTTTTAACCGAGCAAACTGTCCTTCCAAATAATGTAGCCGAAGTCAGCCTTCAAAATAATGTTGCCATTTTTCTTCGCCTTCCATTTTTCTAACCTCAGGATAATTGTAAGAATGAATTAAGATTTGTGTTTAAGGCCAGGCACAGTGTCTCAGGCCTGTAATCTCAGCACTTTCGGAGGCGGAGACGGATGTATCGCTTGATCTCAGGAGTTGAAGACCAGCCTGGGCAACATACTGAGACTCCGTCTTGTATAATTAAATTAAAATTTAAAAAAAGGAGAGAAAAGGACCTGTGTTTAAAATTTTAAAAAAGGGGGGAAAGTGTAATGCAAAATGTGGACTATGCTAGCTATAATTGGGAAAAATAATTTTTCATACAGCATTATCTGTTGACTTGTATTAGCAGCACACTGGTCATAAGTGTTTTGCTTTCATCAAATATGAGGTAAGCTACTTTAAAGTGTGGTGGGGCTTTCTTCCGCATGGCTCCTGGAGATGTTGAGTGCCAATTTAGCCAATTAATTTGGGTTTAGTTTTGATATGGATAAGGGAGACTGGCTTCATTCATGATGCACACACAGTTTTGCCAGTAAGGAAAAAAAAAGCAACCTGAATGTTCCTACTCATTAGATGCTATCTGGACAGCTCCTACCCCAATGCCACAAAGGCCCGGGCCCTTAAAAAGACTCAATGCAGCATTTCTGCGTCTCATACTGTATTCTGTAAGATACTCCTGTGAAAGAAATTTGTTGTGCATCAGCCATCTCCCTCCTGAAGATCCCTGCGGATGACTATTTGTGTTTTAAAGGTTCTGAGAAGTCCTGCAAAAACAGTTCTCAAACTTATTCGTCCAGGGGATCTTTTCTTCCACTGAACATAGTTGGGTAGACACGGCCTTAAGCCTTGAGTGGAGAAAGAGACAAGAAACTGTTGGCTCACTTACAACCAAGTGTTGTGTTTATGTTTTAGGTTTTTATGAAACTGAGGTGCTGTTTGAGGTTCTGAATCAAATTGGGTGGTTGAAGAGAGGCTGGTATCCCTGTAGACTTAGCCAGCCATGAGAGGTTGACTTTTGTTGAAGGAGGTGTTTTACAAAGGGAAATAGGGTGTCTCCTGGGCATCACATTAGTACTTAAATACATGTATCACTGAAATGAAATGAAATGATGAAATGATGACATGAAATGAAATGAAATGATGAAATGAAATGATGAAATGAAATGAAATGATAAAATGATGAAATGAAATGAAATGATGAGATAAAGTGAAATGGTGAAATGATGAAATGAAATGCTGAAATGAAATGATGAAATGAAATGATGAGATGAAATGAAATGATGAAATGAAATGGTGGAATGAAATGAGGAAATGAAATGAAATGCTGAAATGAAATGATGAAGTGAAATGGTGAAATGAAATGAAATGATGAAATGAAGAAATGGTATGAAATGATGAAATGAAATGATGAAATGAAGTGAAATGATGAAATAATGAAATGAGGGGTGGAGCCAAGATGGCCGAACAGGAACAGCTCCGGTCTACAGCTCCCAGCGTGAGTGACACAGAAGACGGGTGATTTCTGCATTTCCATCTAAGGTACCAGGTTCATCTCACTAAGGGAGTGCCAAACAGTGGGTGCAGGACAGTGGGTATAGCCCACCGTGTGGGAGCCGAAGCTGGTCGAGGCATTGCCTCACTCAGGAAGCACAAGGGGTCAGGGAGTTCCCTTTCCTAGTCAAAGAAAGGGGTGACAGATGGCACCTGGAAAATCGGGTCACTCTCACCCTAATACTGCACTTTTCCAACAGGCTTGGAAAACGGCACACCAGGAGATTGTGTCCTGCACCTGTCTCGGAGGGTCTTATGCCAATGGAGACTTGCTGATTGCTAGCATGGCACTCTGAGATCAAACTGCAAGGCGGCAGCGAGGCTGGGGCAGTGGGGCCCGCCATTGCCCAGGCTTTCTTAGGTAAACAAAGCAGCCAGGCAGCTGGAACTGGGGGGAGCCCACCACAGCTCCAGGAGGCCTGTCTGCCTCTGTAGGCTCCACCTCTGGGGGCAGGGCACAGACAAACAAAAAGTCAGCAGTAACCTCTGCAGATTAAATGTCCCTATCTGACAGCTTTGAAGAGAGTAGTGGTTCTCCCAACACGCAACTGGAGATCTGAGACTGGGCAGACTGCCTCCTAAAGTGGGTCACTGAACCCCGAGCAGCCTAACTGGGAGGCACTCCCCTGTAGGGACAGACTGACACCTCACTCGGCCGGGTAGTCCTCTGAGACCAAACTTCCAGAGGAATGATCAGACAGCTGAATTTGTTGTTCACGAAAATCCGCTGTTCTGCAGCCACTGCTGCTGATACCCAGGCAAACAGGGTCCGGCGTGGACCTCTAGCAAACTCCAACAGACCTGCAGCTGAGGGTCCTGTCTGTTAGAAGGAAAACTAACAAACAGAACACCCACACCAAAAACCCATCTGTACATCACCATCATCAAAGACCAAAAGTTGATAAAACCACAAAGATGGGGAGAAAACAGAGCAGAAAAACTGGAAACTCTAAAAAGCAGAGTGCCTCTCCTTCTCCAAAGGAACGCAGTTCCTCAACAGCAATGGAATAAAACTGGACAGAGAATAACTTTGACGATTTGAGAGAAGGAGGCTTCAGATGATCAAACTACTGCAAGCTACAGGAGGAAATTCAAACCAATAGCAAAGAAGTTAAAAACTTTGAAAAACAATTAGACGAATGTATAACTGGAATAATCAATGCAGAGAAATGCTTAAAGTATCTGATGGAGCTGAAAGCCAAGTTTCGAGAACTACGTGAAGAAGGCAGAAGCCTCAGGAGCCGATGCAATCAACTGGAAGAAAGGGTATCAGTGATGGAAGATGAAATGAATTAAATGAAGGGAGAAGGGAAGTTTAGAGAAAAAAGAATAAAAAGAAACGAACAAAGCCTCCAAGAAATATGGGACTATGTGAAAAGATGAAACCTACGTCTGATTGGGGTACCTGAAAGTGATGGGGAGAATGGAACTAAGTTGGAAAACACTCTGCAAGATATTATCCAGGAGGACTTCCCCAATCTAGCAAGGCAGGCCAACATTCAGATTCAGGAGATACAGAGAACGCCACAAAGATACTCCTCAATAAGAGAAACTCCAAGACACATAATTGTGAAATTCACCAAAGTTGAAATGAAGGAAAAAATGTGAAGGGCAGCCAGAGAGAAAGGGCGGGTTACCCACAAAGGGGAAGCCCATCAGACTAACAGCTGATCTCTCGGCAGAAATTCTTCAAGCCAGAAGAGAGTGGGGGCCAATATTCAACATTCTTAAAGAAAAGAATTTTCAACCCAGAATTTCATATCCAGCCAAACTAAGCTTCATAAGTGAAGGAGAAATAAAATACTTTACAGACAAGCAAATGCTGAGAGATTTTATCACCACCAGGCCTGCCCTAAAAGTGCTCCTGAAGGAAGCACTAAACATGGAAAAGGACAACTGGTACCAGCCACTGCAAAAACATGCCAAATTGTAAAGACCATCGAGACTAGGAAGAAACTGCATCAACTAACAAGCAAAATAACCAGCTAACATCATAATGGCAGGATCAAATTCACACATAACAATATTAACTTTAAATGTAAATGGGCTAAATGCTCCAATTAAAAGACACAGACTGGCAAATTGGATAAGGAGACAAGACCCATCAGGGTGCTGTATTCAGGAAACCCATCTCACGTGCAGAGACACACATAGACTCAAAATAAAGGGATGGAAGAAGATCTACCAAGCAAATGGAAAACAAAAAAAGGCAGGGTTTGCAATCCTAGTCTCTGATAAAATAGACTTTAAACCAACAAAGATCAAAAGAGACAAAGAAGGCCTTTACATAATGGTAAAGGGATCAATTCAACAAGAAGAGCTAACTATCCTACATATATATGCACCCAATACAGGAGCACCCAGATTCCTAAAGCAAGTCCTGAGTGACCTACAAAGAGACTTAGACTCCCCCACAATCATAATGGGAGATTTTAACACGCCACTGTCAACATTAGACAGATCAACGAGACAGAAAGTTAACAAGGATACCCAGGAATTGAACTCAGCTCTGCACCAAGCACACCTAATAGACATCTACAGAACTCTCGACCCCAAATCAACAGAATATACATTTTTTTCAGCACCACACCACACCCATTCTAAACGTGATCACATAGTTGGAAGTAAAGCTCTCCTCAGCAAATATAAAAGAACAGAAATTATAACAAACTGTCTCGCAGACCACAGTGCAATCAAACTAGAACTCAGGATTAAGAAACTCACTCAAAACCGCTCAACTACATGGAAAATGAACAACCTGCTCCGGAATGACCACTGGGTACATAACAAAATGAAGGCAGAAATAAAGATGTTGTTTGAAACCAACGAGAACAAAGACAAAACATACCAGAATCTCTGGGACACACTCAAAGCAGTGTGTAGAGGGAAATTTATAGCACTAAATGCCCACAAGAGAAAGCAGGAAAGATCCAAAATTGACACCCTAACATCACAATTAAAAGAACTTGAAAAGCAAGAGCAAACACATTCAAAAGCTAGCAGAAGGCAAGAAATAACTAAAATCGAGCAGAACTGAAGGAAATAGAGACACAAAAAACCCTTCAAAAAACTAATGAATCCAGCAGCTGGTTTTTTGAAGAGATCAACAAAATTGATAGACCACTAGCAAGACTAATAAAGAAGAAAAGAGAGAAGAATCAAATAGACGCAACAAAAATTGATGAAGGGGTTATCACCACTGATCCCACAGAAATACAATCTACCATCACAGAAAACTACAAACACCTCTACTCAAATAAACTAGAAAATCTAGAAGAAATGGATAAATTCCTCGACACATACACTCTCCCAAGACTAAACCAGGAAGAAGTTGAATATCTGAATAGATCAATAACAGGCTCTGAAATTGTGGCAATAATCAATAGTTTACCAACCAAAAAGAGTCTAGGACCAGATGGATTCACAGCTGAATTCTACCAGAGGTACAAGGAGGAACTGGTACCATTCCTTCTGAAACTATTCCAATCAATAGAAAAAGAGGGATTCCTCTCTAACTAATTTTATGAGACCAGCATCATCCTGATACCAAAGGCGGGCACAGACACAACAAAAAAAGAGAATTTTAGACCAATATCCTTCATGAACATTGATGCAAAAATCCTCAATAAAATACTGGCAAACCGAATCCAGCAGCACATCAAAAAGCTTATCCACCATGATCAAGTGGGCTTCATCCCTGGGATGCAAGGCTGGTTCAACATATGCAAATCAATAAACGTAATCCAGCATATAAACCTAACCAAAGACAAAAACCACATGATTATCTCAATAGATGCAGAAAAGGCCTTTGACAAAATTCAACGGCCCTTCATGCTAAAAATTCTCAATAAATTAGGTGTTGATGGGACGTATCTCAAAATAATAAGAGCTATCTATGACAAACCCACAGCCAATATCATACTGAATGGGCAAAAACTGGAAGCATTCCTTTTGAAAACTGGCACACGACAGGGATGTCCTCTCTCACCACTCCTATTCAACATAGTGTTGGAAGTTCTGGCCAGGGCAATCAGGCAGGAGAAGGAAACAAAGGGTATTCAATTAGGAAAAGAGGAAGTCAAACTCTCCCCTTTTGCAGATGACATGATTGTATATCTAGAAAACCCCATTGTCTCAGCCCAAAATCTCCTTAAGCTGATAAGCAACTTCAGCAAAGTCTCAGGATACAAAATCAATGTACAAAAATCACAAGCATTCTTGTACACCAATAACAGACAAACAGAGTGCCCGATCATGAGGGAACTCCCATTCACAATTGCTTCAAAGAGAATAAAAGGCCTAGGAACCCAACTTACAAGGGACATGAAGGACATCTTCAAGGAGAACTGCAAACCACTGCTCAATGAAATAAAAGAGGATACAAACAAATGGAAGAACATCCCAAGCTCTTGGGTTGGAAGAATAAATATCGTGAAAATGGCCATACTGCCCAAGGTAATTTATAGATTCAATGCCATCCCCCTCAAGCTACCAATGACTTTCTTCACAGAATTGGAAAAGACGACTTTAAAGTACATATGGAACCAAAAAAGAGCCCGCATCACCAAGTCAATCCTAAGCCAAAAGAACAAAGCTGGAGGCATAACGCTACCTGACTTCAAACTATACTACAAGGCTACAGTAACCAAAACAGCATGTTACTGGTACCAAAACACAGACATAGATCAATGGAACAGGACAGAGCCCTCAGAAATAATGCCGCATAACTACAACTGTCTGATCTTTGACAAACCTGACAAAAACAAGCAATGGGGAAAGGATTCCCTATTTAATAAATGGTGCTGGGAAAACTGGCTAGCCATATGTAGAAACCTGAAACTGGATCCCTTCCTTACACCTCATACAAAAATTAATTCAAGTTGGATCAAAGACTTACATGTTAGACCTAAAATCATAAAAACCCTAGAAGAAAACCTAGGCAATACCATTCAGGACATAGGCGTGGGCAAGGACTTCATGTCTAAAACACCAAAAGCAATGGGAACAAAAGCCAAAATTGACAAAGGGATCTCATTAAACTAAAGAGCTTCTGCACAGCAAAAGGAACTACCATCAGAGTGAACAGGCAACCTACAAAATGGGAGAAAATTTTTGCAACCTACTCATCTGACAAAGGGCTAATAACCAGAATCTACAATGAACTCAACCAAATTTACAAGTAAAACACAACCCCATCAAAAAGTGGGTGAAGGACATGAACAGACACTTCTCAAAAGAAGACATTTATGCAGCCAAAAAACACATGAAGAAATGCTCATCATCACTGGCCATCAGAGAAATGCAAATCAAAACCACAATGAGATACCATCTCACACCAGTTAGAATGGAGATCATTAAAAAGTCAGGAAACGGCAGGGGCTGGAGAGGATGTGGAGAAATAGGAACACTTTTACACTGTGGGGGGGACGGTAAACTAGTTCAACCATTGTGGAAGTCAGTGTGGCGATTCCTCAAGTATCTAGAACTAGAAATACCATGTGACCCAGCCATTCCATTACTGGGTGTATACACAAAAGACTATAAATCATGCTGCAATAAAGACACATGCACACGTATGTTTATTGCGGCAGTATTCACAATAGCAAAGACTTGGAACTATCCCAAATGTCCAACAACGATAGACTGGATTAAGAAAATGTGGCACATATACACCATGGAGTACTATCCAGCCACAAAAAATGAGTTCATGTCCTATGTAGGGACATGGATGAAACTGGAAATCATCATTCTCAGTAAACTCTCGCAAGGACAAAAAACCAAACACCGCATGTTCTCATTCATATGTGGGTATTGAACAATGAGAACACATGGACACAGGAAGGGGAACATCACACACCAGGGACTGTTGTGGGGTGGGGGGAGTGGGGAGGGATAGCATTAAGAGATATACCTAATGCTAAATGACGAGTTAATGAGTGCAGCACACCAACATGGCACATGAACACTTATGTTACAAACCTGCACATGGTGCACATGTATCCTAAAACTTAAGGTATAATAATAAAATAAAATAGAATAAAATAACAAAATATACACTAATACAGATTAACCAACTAAAAAAATTGTAGAGTAAGTTCATTTAAAAAATAAGAAGGATAGAGTAATAATCTAACACGTTGAAATCTAAGAAGGAGAAAACAGCTTCTCTGAACAGCATTTTAAGTGACAATGTTAGAGGTTTTATCAAAATTGACCAATAATATTAAACCACAGGTTCAGGAGGCTTTTCAAAGCAAAGGAAAACACACACAGAGGACACATCTAGAAACATAATGGGACAATTTCTGAAAAGTAAAAGAAAAATGTAAAGAGCACTTGATAAAAAAAATTGGGGTAACTACAAAGAGAAAGAGTTGACTGATAACAACTTTCTCAAATGAAACAACGAAAGCCAACAAGTGAGGTATTGATATCTTTCAAGTCCTGAAATAAAATAAGTGCTGACCTAGAACTGTCTATTTGGTGGACATATCCATCAAAAGCAAAGATACAATAAAGAATTTCTCCCAAGCAGTCCCACAGGAAAAGAAATACTGAAGATTATTCTTCAGATAGAAGAGCCATGATCCCTGATGAAAGTTTGCAGTTAGAAGAACAATTTTTTAATGAAAGAAATAAACATAGAGAGAAATTTAATTGGATATCGACTGTATAACAGGATGCTATCTCATAAAGTTTAAAATGTATCTTCCATACAACGGCAGAAGCATATAAGTTGTGAGTTGGATAAATTAATTTTAAAATATTGTCAAGTTTTTTTTTTTTTTGCAAATAGACAAATGTACCAATTATATTAGACCCTGAATTCAAGAATGAACGTTGTATTAAACCAGGTAAAACATAACCAGACCAGATTTTTTAAATGGACTCTCTTAAAGTTTTTATAATTTATATTCATATTTCACATATGTTGAAAGTAAATAATGGAAAAGCATGCAATGCAAATATTAACCAAAATATAGCTTTAGTTGTACTTATATTCACATTTTAAAAGTTGGACACAGTTAAGTCTCAGTGATTTTTTTACACAACGGAGGCAACCTGTGCAGTTATAACTAGTATTATATTATGCTCTTGGCCTGATTACAGAAGGGAAAGGGGCGATCATACCAGACAATGGCAGAATGAAGCAACAAGGAGTAGAGTTACAGAACATGATGCTGTAACTGGAACTGGAGTTACTCTTTTAGAGTTAAAGAATAGTAAACTGAACAAAATATATGAAACATTTTTTTGAAGTACTGAACATCAGGCAGCACAGGACTGTGCTCAGCAAGAGAAGAGAAGGAGCCAGAATGAGTCCTGCTTTATTCCCAGATTCTCCGTGACAGCAGTAGAGAGGAATCACAGAGAGAGCAGACGTTGTCATTGCACTGAGGAACCAGATAAAAATCAAAAAAGGTTAAGCAGCTGGAATGTGTAGTAGAAGAGAACGTTTACAGAAAAAGGAACCAAGAATCAGCCTAAGGATTCTCTCAAGTCCCTAAGCCAAATGTACATAGGATGAAATTCTAAGGAGCTCAGCAAAGGACACTACCAGGGAGTTGGAAGAAGAACACTTCTCTGGAATCACATGACAGGAAGACACGTTAGCTCTGACCAGCCAGAGAAGGGAATCCCCTCTGCACCTCCAGGATATTCAGTAAAGACCACTGGAGGTTCATACCCTAGTGACAGTGCTCATTTAGCTCCAAGTTACAGATGGCTCTAGACTAACTCCACAAAGTTTAAAGAGAAGATTTAAAACAACAACAGACAAATACTCATCCTGAAGTTACTGAACTGCCTGCCACAACATTGTTCAAAGGTAGCCAATAAAATCTAGATATTCAATAGCATAACATCAAAATACCCCCCCAAAAAAAAAACTCTGACATGCAAAGAAGCCGTAAGATATATATAATTAAGATATATATTAACAGGATAAAAATAAGTCATTTATAAATGACAGAAAAGAAGGAAATTTCAAGGTCCTTAAAGTAAATATATTTTATGAATACATACAGATAAATACATATATATGTCAATGTACTTAAATGAAAATTGAACATAGGAGAAAAATAGAAGTTATAAAATGAAAAATGTGACACGTATAGATGAAAAATAAATATTTGAAATAAAAATTCCATGAGATGGAATAAGTAATGGATTTTACCCTAACATCAGAAAATTTATAGAAAAAAAATAGAAGCTTTACAAACTAAAGGACAAAGGGTAAACTAAAATAAGAAAGCCAGAAACTCACTGATACATCAGACAATATGCAGCAGTGTAACATACATGTAATTAACATCTCAAAAAGGATGGGTGGGGGAATTATAGGTGAATAAAGAATGGTACACTCATTCCTGAGGGCACCGAGGAGGGAAGATAACTTTAGATTTCTAAGGGAGGGTATTATCCATTCATGAAGGTCCAACCCCATGACCAAACACCTCCCAGTAAGCCCCACCTGCGACATTGGGGATCAAATTTTAACATGAGATTGGAAGGGGCAAGCATTCAAACCATAGCAAGAGTTAAATTTCCTTTTTAAAAAAAATCACTGATATGATTCCATTTTGCCATAGATAAAAGCTAGTATTTCAGCCTACCATTGAGTGTGCTTATAGCTCACCAAAAGGGCACTCTGTCTCGGGAATACAGATTTGCCTAAAGGTATCCTATTGCAGTCATAGAAAGAACAACGAGGGATAGAAAAGGTTAGTGATGGAGACACCAGCGCTGCATTTTGCAAAAAACAATGTAAAAGCTTTACGGATTGGTTCTGCTAACTTTCTACAGTTTACATTCCTCTCAGGTGGGAGAATTGTTGCGTTTTTTCTTAAGAAAGAAAAGCAATTCAGACAATCTGAAATCTCCACAAGAAGGATAAGAAGCACAACAGAAACTATTCTAGGCAGGAAGTCAATCCTTTCAACTGTCTGTGCTCCATAGAAACAATTGTCTGCACTGGGAGTCACATGAGGTACAGACAACAGCCAGACCTCTGATCCTCTCATTAGTGATTTCAGAAGAAATTACCAGTCAACTGAGTAATTCACTGAGTCAAGTAAACATTTGGCACTGAAAGAGGTTAGACGGATAACTATTTGTATCACCATATTCATGAAGCTGGAATATTTTCCATTACTCGTATCACATCCGAATGGAAGATGTTAAAAGGCCTCTCATCTTGTAAGATGGATATGAAAGAACATTTTCTGAGAAATGAAATTATTAACACACCTGCGAGGTGGATGGAAGAGAAAAAAAAGAATAATCAGCTGGAGTTCTTCTCCTTGATAAGACAACTCACTAAAAACATAAAGAGAAAAATACAAGTTTAAAATAACCAGAAGAAGACGACTCTAGAGTTTTTAAATTGCGATGAGATTTTAATTTGCTCCAAGTTGAAAATAATTATATTGCTTGTGTTTTAAGGCCCATAATGAGCAATTATATCACAACATGATAGTTTCAGCAGTAAAATATTATCCGTTAACAGCGGGAACTCTTAAAAGCATAGCACAATGTGAAGATGGAATTTGCTAAAATAAACCATCTGCTGAAAACCACTATTCTGCAAATTTAAAAATAAAGTTTAATGTTATTTGTCTTATTTAATATGTCTGTGAAAAAAATGCGCTATTTGAAAAGTAGCTGCTACCTTAATTAATTCTTTATATTAGACAGCTGGTTACAGTAATGCACAGTAAGGTGCTACATAGATATATTGCTAAATTTTCTGCATATACTATGTATTTGGCTTAAATTATTTGAAATTTTATAGTTAAAATAATAAATGTATATTTAAATGTTATGACACAAATTGCAAATACACCTTTAAAAAGCGTCTTACACTCTAAATATTATTTGTCACCTATATATTTGTCTTTTCTCTATAGGAAAGTTTAAATTTTTCCCTTGAAGCTTTAATTATTTCAGTCTATAAAACAAACTGATGATGTACAAATTAACAGGAAAAAAAGGTTTACAGATATGTGCGCAAGTATGCACTTGGAGTTTACGTAATATATATATAAATATATCTATACAAATATTTGTATATTATAAATAGATATACAAATATATGCTATATATATAAAAACTCCAGGAAAGGCAAGGTAGTCAACACGCCTATGCTGTCTTGAGGTTACAGAAAACACAGAGCTGTAGGTTGGTAAATCAGGCTTTGCGGAAGACAGGTGATGACAAGGAAGAAAGAGGAGCCTGACAGCAGAGGTGGTCTTGTTACATGGATGAAACATCACAGGGAGCAGCCCTCCTCTTGGGAAGTATAGATAGGAAATGGTTTTTAGAAATGTAAACGTGCCAGGCTCAGTTAATCTTTCCTAAACCCAAACAAGGGAATAACTCAGGGAAAGCCTGTCTATATCAATGCAGATTTTCTCTACAAATGCAAATCTCCCCCAACAAACACAGCTTTTCAGCTATTCTTGTAGAAGAAGCTATCTCCAGTCTTCCGAGTAGCCATCTTGAAATATGTCAAAAAGCTGGCCAGGCGCACGCCTGTAATCCCAGCACTTTGGGAGGCTGAAGTGGGTAGATCACCTGAAGTCAGGAGTTGGAGACCAGCCTGACCAACATGGTGAAACCCCGTCTCTACTAAATACAAAAAATTAGCCGAGTGTGGTGGTGCATGCCTGTAATCTCAGCTACTTGGGAGGCTGAGCTAGGAGAACTACTTGACCCTGGGAGGCTGAGGTTGCAGTGAGCCAAGATTGTGCCATTGCACTCTAGCCTGGGCAACAAAAGCAAAAGTCCATCTCAAAAAAAATGTATTTTAGGGTAATATTTTGAGTATCTTTACCTCCATATGTACAATAAATATTATTGTGATTTTTAATCTTTTCTGTGGAGAAAACACAGGTGTGATTTCTAGTGTAGCTGAACATCGTTTATTTGACAATATTGCACTTGTGTGTGGGTGTGTGCGTGTGTAGCTACTCTTTAATTTTGTTCTGACATAATGATTAGATATTAACAATTAATTCAGTAAAATGTATGTTTTGCAATATTTCTCCATGTTATTATGCTTTAAATTAGTTTAATCATGCCCCTATAATGTGTACATTTTAACCTTTGACTATAGGTCACAATCTTACTTTGGTTCCTGTATTTGAATTTATGCTACTAAAGTCCTACAGCTAAAATAGATTATATAAACTTATCTACATTTTTACTAGTATTCTGGTGTCATTTAAAATTATGTAATGAAATCAAATTTTAATTTGGATTATTGTTATCTGAGTTAAGGATCTAAATTTTTAATTTTCTTATAAATATTACATAATTATTTCTGAACCATATATTGACTAATCTGCCCTTTATATGATGTGCATTATAAGAGCTTGGGATTGTTTCATTTGCAAAGATGAATGCTTGAGAAGTAGATATTTAATCATAACATTTCAAAATCTACTGGATAACCTAGAATTGAAAAATAGCCTATAGGTTGAAAAACTCCTGTAGTGAAGAAAGAAAATAACTAATATACAGTGACAATATAAATATTATAAGTATTTATTTTATTATCGCCCTGAAATTTGATAATACAAACATGTAATATCTACATATCATCCATATATCAGGTCAGAAAAAATCAATACATTCTTCAAAAATTTAGCATAACAGAAAATGCACTCTCTCTCCTTGATGGAATTAAGTTACAAATAAAAGTAAAAATAAGTAGATAAGTAGATGGAAGTAGATGTTTAAAAACAAAGAAAAATATTTGTTTTGGATAACATAAAATCTCAATTGACAATTCCAATATTTCCAGAACTTTGGCTGTCAACTGGTGGAGAGTTTTCCCCAGGAGACATTTGTCAATGTCTAGGGTTATTGTGGGGATGTCAAGACTGGTGGAGGTGTGAAATTTAGAGGTCAAACGAAACACCTAGAATTGCTAGGGCAGCCACCCACAACAAAGAATCCTCTGGTCCTAAAGGTAAGTAGCACCAAGGTTGAGAAACCATAATCTAGACAGTAAACACTACGTAGCTATTCCAAGTGCTCAGGAAAACACATCAGCGCCCTCGAGGGGAAAAGTGTAAACATTTTAATTGCTGTACATGGTGACACAAATCCATGTTATTAATCTAAGTGGAAGGGGCTGAAGCACAAAACGTAATTCAAAGAGTTTACTTGAGCCACAATGAGGACAGCTGCCTGGAAGGAACAGACCCAAGTATCCTTGGATATGAACTCCCTTTGGAGCTTTGCAACAAGCAGTTTCTTAAAGGCAAAAAAGGGTCCAGAAGTGGGATGATGCAAAGACGTTTGTCACAAATTCTCATTGGCTTATGGAAATAACATTTATTAGTGACTGGCTATACACTGTTACACTATTATTTGGTGTGGATTATAGTGTCTGGTATGGCGTTATTGGTTAATTTATAGCTACTGTGGCAACAGCAAGCAGCCTAGATGAACACACAGCTCAAAGAGGAGCAGGACAGAACTGCTGTCTCATTTGAATGTCTCTCTGGGCCTGATTATTTAAAAGGACTTGCATTTCTCACATGAAAGTTATTTTCTTTTCTCCATGTCCATAAATGAGAATAAATAGATGCAAAATAGATTTTTTTTGAGGATGAAGTAAATGGAATGAAAAACAAAACCCAAGCTGACCAGAAATCATAGAGGGAAGAAAAGGTTATAAATATATGGATTTTTCAAAGTGATGTTAAGCTATTAGGAATCAGTTAAATGTTGGGGGATTTTGTCTGAGTATGGGCTAAAGGAGAATATCCCTTTTGCCTTCTGAAGTTTCCCTGAAAATCACTAATAGGAGGCAGATAAATAGTAGAAAAGGCATACAGGTTTCTGCAATGTGTGTACACTGGAGCCCTTAGAACGAAGACCCAGACACACGATGCGTGCAGAAGCTTATCTACCACATGAAGTTTACAGAAAGAATGGGGTCTTGGATCACAGGGAAAATAAAAAAAGGTTATGTGAGAAAACGACCCTGGCTAGCAACAGTGGACTTATTACATAGGTGGAACCTCACTGGGAGCATTCCTCAGAGAGAATAGACAGAAAATGTTTCTTTCAGACCTTTGGAGACCTCAGACTCTCAGTTAACCTTTCCTAGATCCAGACAAGGGGGCAGAACTCAGAGAAAGCCTGGCTGCATCAAGGCAGATTCTCTAACAGTGCAAATCTCCCCAAGACAGCTTTGCAGCTAAGTTTGCATTTCCAGCCTTTCTCAATAGCCATTTTGAAATATATCAAGGAAATATATTTAGGGGTAAAATATATTAGTTTCCTTCATACAGCTATAAAACATACAGGAATAATTTTTGTGAATGTCTACTACAAATCCAATATGGCTGTAATTATAAAACCCCCCAGATATTGAAGAAAAAATATGTAGAGTACATCACTTACAAATGTTGATACTAAAATCCCAAATAAAATAAAAATAATATACAACAACATTTGAAACAGTAAGACAAGAAATTGGCAAAAAAAAAAAAAAAAAAAAAACAACAAATATCCACCTTGGGGATGAAAATGTGTTTCCAAATTCGGTAATCCAATAATATTAATAATCATATTGATTAGCCCAAATTAAAAATAAATAGGGTATTCTCAGTACATGCTAAAATATATTTGTTAAAAGGCAATTAGTGGGTGCAGCGCACCAGCATGGCACATGTATACATATGTAACTAACCTGCACAATGTGCACATGTACCCTGAAACTTAGAGTATAATAAAAAAAAAAAAAAAAAAAAAAAAAAAAAAAAAAAAAAGGCAATATTCATGTCTTTAAAGATTTTAAATGCTATAAAGAGTCTGATATTCTATATGCAAACATGTGTATGTCCATTAGAAGAAGAGAGGCCTGATTTTCATGTGTTACTACATAGAGATAGAGAAGTGGATAGATTAATTTGCATATGCATAGAGAAAGCATAAAATAGAAATTTACTGTCATATTAAAGGAATTTAAATTCAACAATAAAATAATTCAAAGGTAAAATTTTAAATATTTTTAACAGGTACATTATTAATATTAGATAATATTTATAATAATTGTGAAAATATTCAATGCTAAAATAAGATAGAATGTCTAAACATCAGTGTTAAAACTAGTATAAATATTTGCTTGTTTATACAAGGAAAATTCAAGCTCGACCTAAAATTATATAGGAAATAAAATAAAAATTTTAAGGGAGCTCTTTAATAACATAAACATATATATATACACACCCACATATAACATGTATATATGTTATATGGGATAGATATAGATTTAACATGTTATATCTATATTTGTATCTATAACTACAGCTGTATGTATCTACATTTCTATATATTTACTCAGTGATATAAATATAGACTGGAATAAATATAAAGTCACATGATTCTTGGATAAAAAGGATTTAGTATCATAAAAACAAATTCTTTCCAAATTCACCTGTGAATTCACAACAATATACAGTTTCATTAGTATAATTTAAAATTTTTAAATAAATTCCAAGATTCATTTAAAGGAATATACATGTATACAAACAGTCAAGAAAGAAGCAAGAGTGCACTAAACTAACTTGCTATTAAAATACATTTTTAAACTTAGTAACTGAAACTGAGCAGTACTGATTTCCAATACTGGAATTTAGGTATCTGGGATCTCAAAAGCACAGAGCTCAAAGGAGACCCCTGTATGCACGAGAGCTTAGGATGTGCTTTAGAAGGCATTACCAAACCACGGGCAAAGTTACTTTAGTGTCTTAGTCTTACTAGGTTTGAAAAGCCAGAGAAAAGACTCAAGACCACCATATAAGAGCAAAACAAAAGGACAGGGAGAGAATGTGAAGACACTGAAACATTTTACATAAAGTTGTATAAAACATCCTTTAAAGAGAATGTAAAGTTTAGGATATACATCAAAATCAGCAGAGCCACTAAATAAATAAATAGGCATTGTAAAATAGCAAGAGAAAATTTAAATGGATTTCTAAAAAATATTGACACCCATGATTTTTAAAATATGTTTAAGAAATCCCATATTTCACAGGGCAGCCTTTCCCAACACAAATATGTTAGGACATAAGGTCCTTCTGTTTTTAATTTACTAGTGTTTATAGGGTTACAAATGTCTTCTACCCTTGTCTTTTGTCTGAAGGTGCAAAAAATTTTCATAAGCATGCATTTCTGAATGTCTGATGGATTGACATATATAATATGCTGCTAGTATTAAAATATGTGATGGAAAACCAATCCAATCTTCTCACTGTTTGCATAAATTCTAGGTTTCTCCTATATACCTCAAGCACTTATGGAGCCATTTCTTACCTTTTAATATTGCCATGGCATTCACATTGAACGTAAGTCGAACTCTCTCATATGGTAGCTGGGTTCAGATTCCGTTGACAATTTCCAGTTCTAACCCTCACAGTTTCTCAGTATGGCTGGCCCAGAAATTCACCCTACACAGTTGCCTCCTCCTGATGAATGCCCACTACAGAACCGTTGGATACAACCTACCTGACTCACCCCACAGACCTCACAGCCCACATGGACAGCCCCCACACGCCAGAGTGACCTGCTTAGTTGCAGCGGGAGCCAAGAAATGTGCCTGCTGACACTCACCCCACCGACTAGACCCCGTGGAAAACTTATTTGGGTAATGCTCTGGGCCTAATAAAGGCTGGAGTCCCACAGACCCCTTTTCTCTCTCCTGCTCCCCACTCATCTTCCCCATTTTGTTCAGCCCTATGAGGTGTGCTACTGTATTAGTCCATTTTCACACCGCTGGTAAAGACATGCCCAAGAGTGGGTAATTTCCAGAAGAAAGAAGTTTAATAGACACACAGTTCTACATGGCTGGGTAGGCCTCACAATCATGGCGCAAGGTGAAAGGCACGTCTCACATGGCAGCAGACAAGACAAGAGAGCTTGTGCAGGGAAACTCCCCTTTATAAAACCATCAGATCTTGTGAGACTTATTCACTATCAGAAGAACAGCATGGGAAAGACCTGCCCCCATGATTCAATTACCTCACACCTGTTCCCTCCCACAACATGTGGGAATTCAAGATGAGATTTGGCTGGGGACACAGCTAAACCCTCTTCTCAGCTACCCTCTTCTCTCTGGATCTGTGAGTAATAAACCTACTTCTATGATTTCCCATGTTTGGTCCTGTGGCCTCCATGTGTCTGAGCTGAGCTACACTGGAACCTAACTCTCCTCCTGGCCAGGGTCTCTGAGAGTGGCTCTTGTCAGAAATACACAGGACACAGGTCAGGCAACAGTCCCCAGGCATTTCCTAGTCTCAACAGATGTTCTGTGAGAGGGAGGCCTGGTCGTGGGATGCACACCTGGCCACTGCTGGGGTAAGGAAGTGTCCTGTGAAAGGCACATGTTAAGCATCCACAACCCCCTGCCCAGAACCCCAGAAAGGCAGGGCTCCAATTGACAGTCACTCTCCAGAGACAAACCTCAAGCCCTAACTGGAGGAAAAGAAAACAACGTAAAAAGTTGAATTTATCTTACTATTTCAATGATCCAGTAAAGACATTCTATGCCTGTACACCACATATTTTCTTCGATTGTGGATATATTTTAGATAGAATTTTATGTCTGGCTTTCACTTTAGCCTGGTCCTTACCTCAAGCATAAGGTAAAGATTTTCCCATGGGTTCTTTTCTGGTACTACTACCTGCCAGTGTGGGGTCATGTCCTAGTCTATCTTGAGGGAACCCCCCTATTCATTATTGTCAGAGTGAGACTGTTAAGTCTTGATTTCCCTGGACAACTTCACTGCATGACTTTTAATATGATTTTTTAATATACCCTTTACTGGACAATAAATTATATAGTTATCCGAGTAAGAGATATAGTCAGGAAGAGGCATTGCCTCATTCAGCTTTTCTCTTTGGTGAACTTGCATATGTTCTCCTCACCCGCCAGTCACCTCTAAACCGTATTGTTCCAAGACAACAAACAGAACTCGAGTGTGTATCTTTCACCACTGGATTTGTCTTTGCTCCATAAAGCTTCATGCTTAATAGGGTTGCTGTTAGCATTTTCTCTATTTATTTTCCCATAAAATATCACAGGCCTTCTTCATATGGAATTATGGGTGATTTCCTTCAATCTGCATCATATCAAGTTGAGGTTCATGTTGATGGAAAGTAAAACATATGTTTAAAATATCAGTAGTGATGTTTTCCCCTCCTTTTTAGCACATGTTCTTGTGATACAAGCACATTTTAATACAATTCCAGTCTCATGCTTTGATCCTAAGGTGAAAATAACATTTTTAGATAAAATATATGAGTTTTATGAGGCCTTTGGTATATGATGTGATAGAATATCAGAAGACCATACTTTTTTCTAGTTTTCCATGCAATTCTATCAGTTTCATCTTTACTCCTACCAGAGTAATTTTCCAAAATAGATATCTTGTCATTCTTCCTGTTGTTATCAGTAAATAAGTGAAACCAAAAGCTAGATTATATAATTTATCTAGAACAAGAAAGTAGAATTGAATCTATATTCATTAATGAGACTAACCAATTAAACAGATAGGCATTTTACATTTTGAAGATCATATGGAATCATTGTCAGATATATTATTATTTATGTCTGTATGGACATCACCTGTGCATATTTATGTAGAAATCAATGGAGTTGATTTTTATTTTTATTATATATATTTTTCGAGATAGGGTCTTGCTTTGTTGCCCAGGCTGGAGTGCAGTGGTTCAATCACTGCTCACTGCAGCCTCAACCTCCCAAGCTCAGGCAATCCTTCCACCTTGACCTCCCAAATACCTAGGACAACAGGTGCACATCACCATGCCCACCTTTTTTTTTTTAACTTTTGACAGAGACTAGATCTTGCTATGTTGCTGAGGTTGCTCTTGAACTCCTGGGCTCAAAGAATCCTCTCCTTTCAGCCTCTTCAACTGCTGGTATTACAAGCATGAGCCACCATATGGGCTGGAAGCTGATTTTTAAAATACTGAGACCATATAGATGACAGCACCTGAAAAATAGACAACACTAAGCTTTATGTTAAAAGGTGTGAGGGTATCAATGTTGTTGTGGCTATTGGGGAGGAAAACGTTAGTAAAACCAGTGAGTTAAAGCTGTTGCTTTAAACTTTGGCTCTAATTTAACAAATGTTCTCTGGGGTGACAGTATGTATGTAACCATGCTATGCCCATTCACAGATGCAGTAGAGGGAAGAATTTCTCAAAGACAACTCTTCTAAGATTGAAATTAAACCGTACTGGGTTTGAAAAGAGAAAGTCTAGGAATTACCAAATATTTTAGATATCAGATTAAAGACATTGCGAGGTATGCAATGATAATCAGCAATGGTTGTTCACACAATACATCAAATCAGTATTTGAATTAGCTTTTCAATTACAAGGACAAATGGATCAAGTCTTGACTCTTTAGTAGATAAATCTTATTAGGCTGAGATGTGTTTTTGCCTGTTTTTCCACAAGGAGATTACAAATTTGCAAACCTCAGCTGCTCTCATTTTATGCTCTCAGCAAGCCAAAAGCTGAAGTTCATCAATCAATGTGTCTAAGTGTCCACTAGTTATATACCATTTTGTAGTTTAAGCTATCTTTCCAACTTCCTAAATCATCACCTTCATTTGATCTTGTTTTTTTTCCACTATCACTTCTTTACTGACCATATAAAGAATATAAATAAGTTCTTATTTTGTTATTGTTCATTTTAGTCTAATTTCATCAAAATATCATAATTTTTTATTTCATTTTAATTTCAAAGATTAAATGAAACCTACATAGAAATGAGTGTAAAATTTGCATTTGCATTATTTTGGCATCAATTTGCTATCCTCCCTCATACACATAGAGATCATTTCCATGTATGTGATTTCAAACATCCAAGTGCAGTATTAAAAGCAGTTGTAAATTATGGTTCTCATTTTCATGATACAATTACTATATAAACTTCCTCTTGCTGCTGTAACCAATTAACACAAACTTCATATCTTACAATAAAGTGATTGTTAATCCTACAGTTCTGGAGTTCAGAAGACTTAAATGAGACTCACAGGGCTAACATCAAGTTTTCGGCAGGGCTGCAGTCTTTCTGAGGCCTACGTGGCAGAATCTATGTAGTTGATTTTTTTCAGCATCCAGAGGCCACCTTTCTTCCTTGGAACATGACCTCATTCTTATATCTTATTTTTTTTTTTTTTTAAGATGGAGTCTCCTTCTGTTGCCCAGGCTGGAGTGCAGTGGCACGACCTCAGCTCACTGCAACCTCTGCCTCCCGGGTTCAAGCGATTCTCCTGCCTCAGCTTCCTGAGTAGCTTTGACTACAGGCATGTGCCACCATGCCCAGTTAATTTTTTGTATTTTTAGTAGGGATGGGTTTTCACCATGTTAGTCAGGATGGTCTCGATCTCCTGACCTCGTCATCCACCCACCCCGGCCTCCCAAAGTGCTGGGATTAGGCGTGAGCCACCGCGCTGGGTCCTCATTCTTGTATCTTAAAAGTCAGTGATGTTGAGTAATTTCGCATGCCACCACCTCCATGGTTGTCTTTCTTCTGCCTTCTTCTTTCACTTATAAGGAAGCTTGTGATTTCATTGATCCCACTCATTTAAGATAATCTCTCCATCATTTTATCGCAACCTTAATTTCACTTGAAATCTAATTTCCCACTGCTTTGCAACCTAACATATTTGTATGTTAGACTCTGGGAATTAGGACATGAACATTTTTGGGAGGCCATTCTTTTGTCTACAGCAGACATAATCTATTTACCTGCAGATTAAAGTGTTCTTTATTTTTCTGCCTCCCTCTCTTAATTTTTTTTAAATAATGTGAATTGTAGTAAAGAGAAATAAAAGAAACAAAAAAGAAGGAAGGAAAGAAGGAAGGAAGGAAAGAAAGAAAGAAGAAAGAAAAGGAGGAAATGAGATAAGGAAGGAAGGGAGGGAAGGAGGGAGGGAGGGAGAAAGGCAGAAAGCGAGAAAAAAGAAAGCAAGAACACAAGAAAGAAAGAAGGAAAGAAAGAAAGGAGGAAGGGAGGAAGGAAAGGAGGAAGAGAGAATGGTAAAAGGGAGGAATGCAGAGAAACAAAGAAAATAAAGAGGAGAAGGAGGGAAGGAAGGATGGTAAAAGGAGGAAAGGAAGGGAGGGAGGAAGAACAGGAGGGAGGGAGGAAGGGAGAAAAAAGGAAAGAAAGCAAGAAATTGAGAAAGAAAGAAAAGAAAAGAAGGGAGGGAGAAAGGAAGGGAGGGAGGAAGGAAGGAAGCAAAAGAGGAAAGAAAGAAGGAAGGAAGGAGAATACAAGAAAGAAAAAGAAAGGAAAAGAAAAAAGAAAAGGAAGAGGAAAAGAAGAAAGTAAGGAAGAAGACAAGGGAAGGGAAGAGAAGGGAAAGGAAGATGGAAAGAAGGAAGGAAGACCGCAAATATTAGAAATTCTGGGTTTGTTGCAGAATACGCCATACTGTTTTTTTTTTTTTTTTCACTTGAAAGGAAAGAGTATCTGCCATTGCAGATTGGATGTCTTGTTGGTGATATTGTTGTTCTTATCTTCCGCATGATTACTGAGATTGTGCCTAGTCTGTCTATTACTAAGACAAAAGTGTTGAAGTCTGCAAATATAATTTTGGATTTTTCTAGTTCACCTTTGATTTCTTTCATGTTTTTCCTCATGTATTTGGAGGTTCTGTTGTTAGCTGCATACCCTAATTAGTAGGAGGTTTACATCTTCTTGAGAATTGATGATTATATTATCTATTATCTCTCATCTCTGATACTATTTCTTGTTCTGAACTCTGTTGTGTCTAATATCAATGTGGTCCTTCCCACAGCTTTATTTTAGTGTTTCCATGATATGGCTTTCTCCATATCTTGAAGATAACCTATTTATATCTCTATATATTTGGAGATATAAAATTTAGAGTTGATTTTTTAAAGATTTTTCAAGATGTAATTCTTATTTGTTTTTGTTCTATTTGACATTCTCTGAGTTTCCTATATCTGAAGTTTGATTTTCTGTCACTTCTTTTAGAATATTTTTGGCAGTTATTTTGAAAAATATTTCTTTGGCTCCATTATTTTTTCCCCTTTTCTTTTTGGGATTTCAATTATAACTAGAGTAGGTAATTTCATCTCAGTCTTATGCAGGTACTTTTTCTCAGGGTCTCAGGAATGTAGCCTTCTCACACTTCATGCACGTGTTTATTTTTTGTGCACCTATGTTTTGTAAGATTAACAGCTGATTTAACAGAAACAATGGAAGGCAAGAGGTAGGAGGATAATATATTCAAAAAATGCAAAGGAAAAAAAACTGTCAGCCACCAATTCCTTATCCAGCAATTAGTTTTCAAAAATGAAGATAACACAAAGACTTACCCAGAGAAACAGAAATATTAACTGAAGTTGTTGCTGGCAGACCTACCAAACAAACAAAAAAAGAAAAAACACCAAAATAAATTCCTAAGGCTAAAAGCAAGTTGCACAAGACAGTCATTTGAATCCACTTTTTTTAAAAAAGCACTGGTATAGGTAAAATTAACATTATAAAAGACAGTAGAAACGCATGTTTTCTGTTTATCATAAATTGTTTATAAAATAATATGTGTATAATGGCCGGGCACGATGGCTCACACCTGTAATCTCAGCATTTCAGGAGGCTGAGGCGGGCGTATTACGAGGTCAGGAGATCAAGAGCATCCTGGCTAACATAATGAAACCCCGTCTTTACTAAAAATACAAAAAATTAGCCGGGCGTGATGGCGGGCGCCTGTAGTCCCAGCTACTCGGGAGGCTGAGGCAGGAGAATGGCCTGAAGCCAGGAGATGGAGCTTGCAGTGAGCGAAGACTGTGCCACCGCACTCCAGCCTGGGCAACAGAGGGGGACTCTGTCTCAATGATGATGATGATAATAATAATAATAATAATAATAATAATAATATATGCATAATGTATTGCTGAGTATTTGACATGTAGAAATGTAATATGTCTATAACATATTTTCCAGTAACATCAAAAAGCAGGTAGTTGGAAGAAAAATGTATCGTGATAAGGTAATCACTCTAGATGGTAAAGTAATAATTACTAAAATGTATTGTTGGCTTTGTAACTTTAATAGATGTAATGTGTAAAGTGATAATACTTTAAAATGGAGGAAATAAAAGAGATTTGTATAAGAATGATGTTTCTATGTGTTACTAAAATTTTACTAGTATAAGTTGGAAGATGATTTGATTAATTAATTTTCCATATACCTATATGGTAAACTTACAACAACAACAAAAATTCTCAAAAATATATAGTAAAATAATTCATTAGTAATCTAAAGTTCCCTATTTCAGAAAATATTCATTCATTGCAAAATAAAGCAATAAAGATAAATATTTGAGAAATATACAAAACAAACTGTAAAATGGCAGACATAAACAGAATTATACCAATTATAATATTAAATGTGAACAGATTAAAATCCAATCAAGAGGGAGAGATTGTCAGACTGGATTAAAACAAGTGATCACAATATACGCTGAGATGCAAGGATATTAAATGGGTTGAAAGTAAAAAGATGACAAAAAATATCATGCAAAGGGCAATCATAAGAACACTGAACTCATTATACTCATAAGACACAACATAGACTATTAAAAATGTGAATAGGATTTTAAAATTTTATACTGTAGTAAGAAGGGGGTCAACGCTTTAGGAAGACATAGCTATTACAATCATGTATGCACAGATAGGAGCTAAATTGTTTCCTCTATATAGATGCTGAAATCCTAACCACTGAATATGACCTCATGAGGAAATAGGTTCTTTGCAGGTGATCAAGTTAAGATAAAATCAGATGAGCCTGAATTCCATATGACTGATGTCCTTATAAAAAGAAGAAATTTGAGTAGAGGGAGACATACACACAGGGAGAGTACCATGTGATTATGAGGGCAGAGATTAGCCAAGGAATGCCAAAGACTGCCACTAAACCACCAGAAGCTAGACACAAGGCATAGAACAGACTTTCTCTCATAGCCCTTGAAGGGACCATCCCTGCTGACACCTCAAGCTCAGATTTTTAGCTTCCAGGACTATAAGACTATAAATGTATGTTGTTCAAGGCACCCAGTTTGTGTTACTTGGTTATGGCAGCCCTATAAAACTAATACATGAACTAATAACAAAGCATAACAATGTGAAGCAAAAATTGACAAAAGAGGAGCATCAGCAAAATGGCAGTGGAGACAGCTGCAATATTTCATTTCCCCACAGAAACATCACACAACTAAGAGAAACTGTCCGAATAAACTTTGCCAAAACTCTGGAAAATGGTCAAAAGATTACAACAACCGAGTGATAGTGGACTCAAGAAAAAGACAACTGGAAAACTTTATGACATTTTTAACTTGCCTTTGCCCCAGCAAATTGGCAGTTTTGAGGTGTCAGAAGCCCACGTTCCCAGTGAGAAACCCTGGTCCATGATCCAAAGGAACAAGAGAAGATCTTACTCGCAAATTATTATGTGTCTGTTCTGACTGGTCTGGGGGATACCTAAAGGACTAATGAAAGGCTTTTTTTTTTTTTTCTGTGTTGCTAGAATACAGAACAGATAAGGAATGGACATTATTAAGAAACTCTGCAAGGATACCTAACAAACCAGAGACTCTTAGGGCAAAAATTAGAGTTTACACATATAGTAGATCACCTTCAGCACAGGAAGAAAAGTTGGAGAAGAGTATTTGGAAAACTAAGACATTCAAAATCATTCACGTACATGGGACAGTCTAGAAAGTCACATGTATGCATAGGTTAAGCCACATGCTGACAAATGTCATAAGAAGACCCTACACTTTTACCTTGGCTGATCCCTCCCCTCAGTGCAGGCTCTGTGCAAGAGTGAACTTGAACTTCACTCAGTGCAAGAGTGAACACACACTTTGTGTCGGCTTTAAAGAACCCAGCACAAAGCCAGTCTGCATGGCCTAGAGACATATTTTGCTGGATAATGATTACTTGTTTTTCTTTGTTTGTTGTATTTGCCTGTTTGCTTAATTCCTGACATACAAGAAAATCACTGTCAAAACATTAGCTTAACATTTGTTAAGGAAACGAAAAGACTTCAGTGACCACACCTTATAAAGCAAACAGTTTTGCACATCACTTTGGAAAATTTCACTAAAAATAAAAACCTTGAGAATATAATAAGTAAATAAAATTTAAAACCACAAAACATTACTGTGTTTGTGGGGGGGGGGGTTCTGATTTACAGAATAACCACATAGTAATTATAATTATTATAACGTCCAGTTTTCAAAAAAAGTTACAAGACATACAAAGAATTGGAAAGTATGGCTCATTCAAAGGAACAAAACAAACTGACAGAAAGTATCTCTAAGGAAACCCAGACTTCAAACTTACTAGACAAAGACTTTAAAACTACTCTCTTCATTATACTCAAATGTCAAAAGGAAAACATAAACAAAGAAATCAAGGAATCAGAAAAAATATTAAAAAGTAGGAATATCAACAAAGAGATAACAGAAATTCTGGAGTGGAAAACTACAGTGATAATAATTCAAAAATCACCAGAGGGATTTCAGAGTATATTTGCACACACAGAAGAAGTCATGAACTTGAAGATAAGAAAATGGAAAATACTGACTCTGAGAAACAGAAAGAATAACAAATAAAAAATGAGCAGAGACTAAGGAATCTGTGGGACATCATCAAATAGACCAAGATTCATATTCTAGAAGGATAAATTATGTTGTTAAAAACTTTACCATTCTTTCTTTCCACCTTTCTTTCTTCCTCCCTCCCCCTCCTCCATCTTTTTACTTTTCTTCCTCTTCCTTTCTCTTCTTTCTCTCCTTCATTATCCCTTTCACTCTGTTTCTCTTTCTCCCTTTCTTTTTTCTTTTCTTTCAATTTTCTCAATTACTAAGAGATGTTTAAATACCCTTACCATGTTAGTAGATATGGTTATTTCTCCCTTTAGTTCTCTTTTGAGATTTATAGTCACTCTAAGTAAAGAGATAACCCAAACATAAGCCTCACAAACAGGCTTGCATACCATTCTTAATTTGGTCCTGTAATTCTTCATTGCTGTATTAACTTTCTGATGCTTTTAAGGATGTTTTATAACAAATTGTTTAGTTTTCTCCAACGGAATGTTTATTCTGAGTTATCTAATTCATATTGTAAGTATATAGGGAGTTTAATATAAAATTATTAAACTAATATTTGTGAAAGAATGTATTTGTGCATTTAACAAATATGTTAATCCTCAGACTGTTATTGGGCAGCTGAGCATACAGCAATAAAAATAACATAATTTTTATGTGTACAATATTTATGGAATAAATTACTGGAACCAATAAATACTTTAGTTAATAACATGACCAAGAACAGAAACTGTATACACTATAGAGCATAGTAATGGAATAATGAGTGATTAAAGTTATTAATATTAGGTAGAAAATGAAGGGTATCTTTGAGAGCAGAACTCAAGGAAGCAAGCAATTCGCCTTACGAAAAAAGAGTTACCTGTAGATAAAAGAAAAACTGAAAAATTTACAAGTCAAGACTTTTTGAGCAAAAACAAAAATATGACTATTAGTCACCAATTCAGTACAGTGAAAAAAGAGTTGAAGAGATATCTTGGAAGTAAACCATGTTGTGGAAGAGCATGTAGGGTTTTGATAATCATGGGATGATTCTGAATTAATTTTAAATGCGATAGGAATATATGAGATAATTTCACCAGAGAATAACATGACTGTGTTTGCATTTCAAAGGGGTGTATCTCGTGCACTGTGAAGAATAAATAGGTTATGTGAGCAAATAAATTCGGAGGCTATTGTAGTCCACAGAAAATAGGTAGTGACTTAGGTGAGAATGCTGTGAGTATGAGTGGTATTAGTGGTGAGAAGTCGTCAGGCCATAGATGTATTTCAGAGGACTGGCCAAGAGAACTGCAGCTAAACTGGAGTGTAGGGAGTGAAATGGAGAACTCAAAGATGACTCTCAGCACTGGAAGGTGACAGCTGTCACTGAAGCAGGCTGATGCCTCTCATTAAGAGAGTTACTTGGGAATGGCAAGATCAAACCTTCTCACTTTCAAATTTATGAAAAATATTGTTTTCCAAACGAATGACTTTGGGATCAGAAAGCCATCATTCTAACTGATGGTTCCACAACTACACGGGTTCACACTCCCAAGAGCAAAAGTAAATCATCACAAAGGTGCTTCCTGATAATTCTAGAGAATGGAGAATTACTGTAACATCTTTCTGATTTTAGGAGAGGTAACAGTTCCCTTTTTAGCCTACACGCTATTTTTCTTTAAAGCTCAGCCAAGAGACTCCATTATAATTTTCAAATGTGTGTCACTTAAATTCTCATATGAAATACCACTATGCTTAAATTAGTCAAAACATTTTCCCGGTCTACACCTCTATCTTGTCATTGCAATCATTTTCACAAAAGTGACTGCAGCTCACAGACCCTAAAAGGGGAAAATCCAGGGTAGGTTATCTGATCTAGTTAGTTTGGAAGACAGGATCTAGAGATTATTTAATATGAAATAGGTCACCTGAAATGAAGTGTTTATTGAAAACAGCTTGGATCAACCCAGTTTTCTACCACTGAACCATGCATTTGGTTTCAAAAACACAACAACTCTGGGGAATATCGGCTGCTTCCAACTGTGTTGAAGGTGTTAAAGAAAAGAGCATATAATTATAAATGATCATCTGAGGCCTTTATAGTCTCTGCTCAAGAGACTAGCGTCTTCCATTCTTAACGAAACACCCAAATATCTTAATAGTTGGGCAAAATCTTACTATCAGAGAGATAATTTTATCTTGAAGACTGTTAAATTATAATGGGGATTCACTACCTTACCACGTCTCTGACTCAAAAATTAGATCTTTGTTTAGGAATCAATGGTACTCTGCAACTTGGAAATAGGAAGATTTTAGAAGACTCAAACACTGACTTTCTTGTGTGCAAAAAAAAGACGTATTGAGATAAGACAAGTCTTTCCTTGCAAGGATACCTGTAATGCTCACACACCACCTCCCCTAACGTTAATATAGCTTCCAGGCCACTAACCGGTGTCAGAGAGCAGCCTATGCAACTACAGATTCAAAAGATGTCAAACACAGGGTCAAGCCTAGAATAAGAAGTCTTAGCTAATTAAGTATGCTTTTTCCCCCAAATTCATATTAACAAAAACTTGGATATGTCAGAGAATGCATTCTAAGTTCACTCAACCTAGGAAGGAGAAACATAATTTTAAATTAAGAGCTGAAGCATTCTTGTCCTAACAGAAAGCAAGGAAAACGAAATATCACACCACAGGAGGGATTTCACAAATTAGTGTCAACATCAAAACCTTAAAATAGGCAAGGAGAATGCAGATTCACAATGAACTCTTGTACTTGTTTTGTTCAGAGAAGAGATGGTTCTGAGAGAATGACAGTGAATTAACCCCAGCTGGTTTAGTTAGTGCTTTCAATTGCTGCTTCTGATAAACTCCTTTAGCTAGAATAAATTTATGAAGATTTTGGCATGTGGTATTAGAGATGGTTATTAATTTTTTCCTCGTATTTGCATTGTTCAATGTAGTAAATACTAGCTGTATATGGCTGCTTCAATTCAAATTAATTACAATGAAATATACTTAAATATTGAATTTTTTAGTCACTCTTGGTTGATTATTGAATATATTCAGCTAAGATTTCCCATCTAAATACACTAAGAGGTGGCTTAGTTAACTGGTCGTCCACAAATATTGAAGCTGTTGTTAATTCCTGATATATCCTCTGCAAATAGAATAGTCATGAGCCTCCTCCTGAAACCAGCACCCTACAGATAATTTTATAAATTGGATACAAGTTGGAAATCTATACTCTTTAAGTTTTTGAAATATTAGCTTCCCAGGGAAGAAAATCAAATTCATAAGATATGTTAGGACAATTTAACTCAAGATGTTCAAAACTTAAATGACATATTCTACAATATGTGATAAAACCACCTGCTAACAACTTAAAGCAAAACAGGGATTGACCTTAAAGACCTGCCTTTTCCTCATGCCCCAGCCAATCAGTTTTCAAATCTTGCATTTTATTTTGAAAGGTCCTTATCCCCCTAGTCTCTTGTTTCTAGACTTGGCACATATTTGTAACGTCTATCTACTGACTTTCCTCTCTTCAAACAGTATCTATGCCTGCCAAATGTGAACATACAAAAAATCAGAATGTGGCATTCTGATTTAAACTGCTTATTAGTTAATACCCTCAAGATAACATCTAGGTTCTTAGCTGCACTGAGTCAAGCCTACTTACATCTTTTTTTGTCTTCGGCTGCACTTTTCCTATCACATCACACTCCAGCAATGCCAAGCTGTGCGGGCCTTCCACCCCATCTCCACTATTTTGCCCCCGCTGCCGCGGCTTTTTTCTGCCTTCTCAGCGGCTTTTTGTCGCCACGCCTTTTTACCCCCGCCGCCGCGACTTTTCGCTCCCCGCCGCTTTTTTCCCCCGCCGCCGGCCGCGGCTTCTTGCGACTTTTTTCCCCCGCTGCCACGGCTTTTTGCCCCCGCCGCCGCGACTTTTGTGGATTTTTGCCCCCGCCGCCGCTGATTTTGCCCCCGCCGACGCGGCTTTTTCCCCCGTCTCAGCGGCTTTCTGCGTCTTTTTGCCCCCGCTGCCGCGTCTTTTTAGGGCTTTTTGTCCCTGCCGGTACGGCTTATTACCGTCGCGGCTTTTTGCCCCCCAAGTCACGGCTTTTTGCCCCCGCCACCGTGGCTTTTTGCGTTTTTTTTCTCCCCGCTGTCGCGGCTTTTTGCCCCCGCCACCATGGCTTTTGCCGCTGAGGCTTTTTGCACCCACCATTGCAGCTTTTTGCCATCGTGGCTTTTTGCCCCCGCCGCCGCGGCTTTTTGCGGCTTTTTGCGGCTTTTTTCCCCGCAGCCGCGGCTTTTGGCCCCCGCGCAGCTTTTTACCCCCACCGCCGCGGCTTTTTGGCCTAGCCGCCCTAGCTTTTTCCCGCCGCCGCCGCCGCCGCCGCCGCCGGGGCGGCTTTCTGCTCCCAGCGCCGTGGCTTTTTGCCCCCGCGGCTTTTTCCCCCATCCCCGGGCTTTTTGCCCCCACCGCCGCAGTTTTTTACCCGCGCCGCCGAGGCTTTTTGCTGCCGCGGCTTTTTGCCCCCGCCGCCGTGTTTTTCTCCCCCATCCCCGCGGCTTTTTGCCTCCGCCGACGAAGCTTTTTGTGGAAATTTGCCCCCGCTCCCGCTGATTTTTGCCCCCGCGCCGCGGCTTTTTGCCCCCACGGCTTTTTTACCCCGTCTCAGCGGCTTTTTGCTGCCGTGGCATTTTTGCCCCCGCCTTTGTGGCTTTTTGCCCCCCGCTGCCGCGGCTTTTTGCTCCCGCCTGCGTGGTTTTTTGCCCGCGCTGCCGAGGCTTTTTGCCCCCGCCGACGAAGCTTTTTGGGGAAATTTGCCCCCGCTCCCGCTGATTTTTGCCCCGCGCCGCGGCTTTTTGCCCCCACGGCTTTTTTACCCCGTCTCAGCGGCTTTTTGCTGCCGTGGCATTTTTGCCCCCGCCTTTGTGGCTTTTTGCCCCCCGCTGCCGCGGCTTTTTGCTCCCGCCTGCGTGGTTTTTTGCCCGCGCTGCCGAGGCTTTTTGCCCCCGCCGCGGCGACGTTTTCCCCCCGCCGCCGGGGCTTTTTGCTCCCCGCCGCCGCGGCTTTTGCGCCTTTTTGCCCCTGCCGTCGCGGCTTTTTGCTGCGGCGTTTTGCCCCCGCTGCCCTGGCTTTCTGCCGCCGCGGCTTTTTGTGTCTTTTTTCCCCCGCCGCCGCGGCTTTTGGCCCCCGCCGCCGCTTTTTGCCAACGTGGCTTTTTGGCCTAACCGCCCTGGCTTTTTACCCCTGCCGCCGAGGCTTTTTGCCGCCGCAGCTTTTTGCCCCCAGCGCTATGGCTTTTTGACCGCGCCGCCCAGGCTTTTTGCTGTCGCGGCTTTTTGCCCCCGCGGCTTTTTTGCCCCGTCTCAGCGGCTTTTTGCTGCCGTGGCATTTTGCCCCCGCCGTTGTGGCTTTTTGCCCCCCGCTGCCGTGGCTTTTTGCTCCCGCCGGCGTGGTTTTTTGCCCCCGCTGTCCTGACTTTTTGGCGCCGTGGCTTTTTGCGCCCTGCCACCACGGCTTTTTTCTCCCCGCCGCCGGGACTTTTTGACCCCGCCGCGGAATTGGGGGCTGTCAGTGCCCAGGAGGACAGAGGAGGCCACGGTGATGACCTGTACGCTGTGCCACACAGAAATCAGGTGTTTTCTGTGTTCCCAGTTTTCTTCTTGACATTCACCCTGATGTTAACTTTTGGTAAATTAGTGCCTTGCTAAGGATTTCTTCTCTCTATTCTGCATTTGATAGCATTTGCTTTGGGGCTTATTTTTTTAAACGTGTGCCAGCCTCATTTCTATCTGGTTAGATTAAAACAAACTTCTTTCCTTTAACTTGCAAAAACAGAGATGAACATCTTCATATTGTTAATGTGGACTTCCATTCACAGCTTAGCAATTTTATGGGCAGAAGAGCACAATGGGCTCAACTATCCAGGCTTTAGGAGTTATTTTAATCTTTAAAGAGCAATAGGTACAAGTAAAAGTACATACATAAAGTAGGTATTTAATATTTAATTTTTATTCTCATATGCATGAAAAGGGTGTTCCAAAAAAAGAGAAGTCCATGGCATGTCTTTATGGTTAATCTTACTTTATTTTTTGGTTCATCTACCATGCTTCTTACAAGTTGTTTTTTCTTTCATGAAAATTTTTTTTAAATGAATTGATTTTACTTTTCATCAGCACAACTGTTGACTAATACCAAAGTTAGCTAGAAGGCTATGATTTTTATATTTATAGAATGGCAGGGGCAGCATTCAGATAATACATCATAGTAACTTGGCATTTATGAAATATTAGTTTTCCATAAACATCAACTCAGAGGAAGGTTTTTTTAAATTATAATAACATTTTGAAAACCATCTGTCCATTAAAATGTTACTAAAATATGTATTGGAACTGGTGTTTTAGATGCCAGTCCTTCCTGAAGAGTGTTTTGAGATTTTTTTCAAATACTGCCTCAGTTCTATATAAAATAGTAAAAATTCTGCCTTTTAAATTGACTACTGGATGTAGGTAAGAAGAAGTTAAGTAAATATTACATAAAAATAAATTTGCAAAAGTAATTTACTCAAGGATTATTTACACTTTGATGAGTGGATCTGGATATTTTGATACTAAGTGAAAGTGGTTCCCCTATAATTATAAGGGAACAAATATCTGCAAGTAGTAGTTAAAAGAATGTATATAGGCCGGGCACGGTGGCTCATGCCTCACCTCAGGTGATCCACCCGCCTCGGCTTCCCAAAGTGCTGGGATTACAGTCATGTTAAGTGTTACTCTAATTATATCAGTAATTTAAACCTCAAAAGAGATTCATTATGTATACAAAATTAATCTTGTGTAATTAAATTTAAAAGTAGAATTAATGGAAGAAATCAAAAAACACAAGGTGGCTCACACCTGTAATCTCATTGCTTTTGGAAGTCTAGGTGTGAGGATCCCTTGACCTAAGGAGTTTGAGACCAGTCAAGCAACACAGTGGGACCCCATCTCTATAAAAAAATTAGCTGGGTATGGTGGTCCGTGCCTGTAGTCCTAGCCACTTGAGAGGCCGAGGCAAAAGTATCGCTTGAGCCTAGGAGTTGGAGTCTGCTGTGAGCTATGATCACACCACTGCACTCCTGCCAGAGCAAAAGAGGGAGACTTTAAAAAATAAATAAATATATCACAAAATACTTCTGATTCCAAGTCCAGATATATAAACCACAGGAATACTTATATAAACACACGTTATACATACATATAGTATATGTATGATAAAATATACTTGTATGTTCAACTTGGGAAAGGTTGATGATTTTAGAAACAGTAATTCTATTGCCTTATGCTCGAATGATTTTCAATTTGAAGATGTATTTGGGATCAAATACTTGAGGCTCCGTACACAAGACATCTTTTTTTCCCCTCAGAATCATTTTTTGGCTGATTATTGGATTACAATTGGGAGATCTAGAACTAAATTCCTGCTTAGTGTTTACTTGTTCAGAGCATAGGCATTGAAATCGTCCTGTTTTGCCTCAGTCTCCACAATAGTACCTACTAACCTCATGACTAGGGGATCGTGTAGCATTTCTCTAAGCCTTGTTTTTCTTAGCTGTGAAGTGGTAAATTTTGAAAGTGCTTTGTTCATAGGATTTCTGTGAAAACCAAACTGGGTAAAGAATGTAAGGCATTTAGCTCAGTAAAATAACCTGGATTACAGTAACTTTTCATGGAGTGTTTATTAGTACTTAAACTGTCATTGTCATCAAAATTCTGTTTTTACATATGAACTTAGAAATGTCATTGTAACCTTCTCAAATCATTTGGTCATTTAAAATGGAGAGGTTGAGTTAGGTGTTTCTTACATTTCTCTTTAGCTCTGATACTATGAGTCTGAAGTTAAGTAATGCAAAGTTGGTAATTAAATCTTCCCCTTTCGTGATGTAGGAGAAAGGGAGAAAGAAAACTTCTGGGTAACTGGATTCCCTTGCAAGTTTATTAGAATTGTAATTATGTAGCATTTTGAATAAAGCATTCATTCTGGAAATCATTAAATTTACTTTTCTTAACTCCGTATTTTGTCAACTGTGGAAAAATTGGGATTTAGGAGTAACCTCTGATTTAAAATTCCACCTGTTAATCATTTAAATTGTAGTCTTGTAATTTCCTAACTTTGGTCTTGAAGGTGTTTATCATTCTTATGCGCTATTATACTGTATTATATATTTATGCAACATAAAATGTATAGTTTTAACTATTGTACATGTTTACATATGAAAGGTATAGTTTTGAACTTATCATTATTCAATTTGCTAGTTTTGCTTCACTATTCATTTTTGACACATCCATATTAGTACATGCAACTCAAGTTTATTCTTTTGAGCTACTGTATATCATTCAAATGTATGAATAAATAACCTTGCTTTGGTGGACATTTAAGTATTTTCATGTGTCAGTATGAAAAGCAGTTTCAAAATGAACATTCAAATATACATTGTCATATATAATGTTTGTATATATGAAAGTCCTGTGGGTTATATATCTGAAATCAAAATTACAAGTGTTTTGTAACTTCTATAATTAATTTTACTCTCAATTTTAAGTAAACAAGATTAGTTTTTGCACATGATGAATCTCTTTATTCAGTTAATTACTGCCATAATTAGAATACCACTTAAAACTTGAGAATATTTTCAAGGGTATTTATGCTAAACTTACATAAGTGTGTTGAAAAGTCCTTTTGTATATATGTAGAGATTACATGGTATGTTAAATTCATCAATTTGCCTAAATATCAAGTTATACTTAAGTAGTGTCCATACACAATTTTTTTGCTTGACTGAACTCCAATATGTATATTGGGAGTACTTTTTAACATTCATAGGTTAAATGGCCTGTTTTGGAAAATGATATTAAAAATGTAATTCAGACGAATGCTTAGAATAAAGATTAAAGATGAATGAGCTTTCATATTAATCATCAATATGACAATCCTAAAGGGAAGCATGATTTTCAAATGTACCTCCTTGTAAGCAGGATAATTCAGAAATGCACAGTGCATATTAGATATGGGATTTGAGTCGTAGTATATTTCTCTAAGAATGTAATTTATTGTACTTTCACATCCACCCCACTGAATATGCAGAGTTTAAGATGCAATGGCCAGAAGACATGAAAGTGTCACTAGAAGGATGTGGACGTGGGCTCCGGGACTGTTGATGATGACTGTGATCTTTTGGGGTCATCAGGGGAATGGACAAGGCCAAGGTAAGTGCAAGGATGTTCTAATTCTTTGAGAGTTGGATGCAAATTTCACTTTATGATGAAATTATGTGAGTCTTTGGTTTGACGTTTAAGCAATTTGTTGTAATCTTCCGCCAGGTTTTTGTTACAGGGTATTGTAATGCCTCTGCACCAGTTAAATTGAAATAGAGTTAGGTGTGAGTAAATGCATCAAAATTGAGGCCATCTTTCCGAAATTGGCTTTTTTCTGTTGGAATTCATTATATATATATGGAATTCTGTTGGAATTCATATATATATATATATGCATATATATATGTATATATATATGAATATATATATGTATATATATATGAATATATATATGTATATATATATGAATATATATGTATATATATATGAATATATATATATGAATATATATACACCAGATATGTATATCACTATTACAGAGAAACAGTTGTCATGCTGCATTTTTCGGAAAGATGGCTTCAATTTTGATGCATTTACTCACACCTAACTCTATTTCAATTTAACTGGTGTAGAGGCATTACAATACCCTGTAACAAAAACCTGGCGGAAGATTACAACAAATTGCTTAAATGTCAATATATATATATGGTATTATGAGGCTACGTGTGTGTGTGTGTGTGTGTGTGTGTGTGTGTGTTTTGGGGGGGTGGGTATGCATGTGAGTTTGTGTGTGTGGTATTTTACAAGAACACATAGCATATAAAGTTGTTGGGATTTTGAAGAAAAGTTTTTGGATGTTTGTTTCTTTTCTTTAGGGTTTTTATGTTTTACATTTTAAAATTTCAAGAACCTATTCTTAAAGGATGTGATGTTCTTTAGAAATTAAATGAAAAAACGTGACGTTTCTCATTCTTCTGCCAAGCGTATTTAGGGGAAATTAATGATAGAGTGGAGCTGCAAGTTTGTGGCATCCTGAAATGTCTGTTGGAGAGTAGAAAAGGGCCATAGAGTTTGTAATAAGGCTTTCAATATTGACTTGATCAATAGCTGTATGGAGTGGTTTGTGCCAAATCTAGTATCTGTGAATGTATTTTGTGATAAGTATTGTATTATTTTTGGAGGTGTGTTGCCTGCTCAGATACAAATTGCAATTCTGTATTTTATGTGATAAAACATCCTGACACCCCTGAAATTTTCTTTTCCTCTTGGGTCAAGTATATTTGGCATTGATTTTCTGCAATTTCAAGGCTTGAAATGAAATCTGTGAGCAAGAAGTTCACAGAGTTTATTTCAAGGGATAGGTATTTTTCTAGAGATAAAATTGAAAGCGTGCAGTGTTATTATATAATTGTGATGAAGTTGAGCTTTGCTAGTTTGAAGTATCTAATAAAGTTTAACACTTTTTAAAAGATCCTTCAAAAAGGGCAGTTTTCTTGCCATATGTAATATTGTTCAATGAATTTTTGAAATGAAATAGATATTTTTCAAAACCACAAGTGCATGTGTGCCTTTGTATATGAATAGTTGTATATACATGTAAGCAGATAATACAATTTGTTAATTAAGATCAGCTTTGATTTTAATTTTTCTTTCATGCCAGAGTTTATATTAGCATTTAATAGAATTCTCATTTTTATTTTTTGTGATAAAACTAATGTAAAATATATTTAATACACATAGTATTTTCACCAAAGGTCTAAAACAAGAATATGTAGACAGTAGCTATGTTGGATTTCTGTGGCTATAGAGTTGTTTATTTCTCTGGTAATGTGTAGAGTTATTACAATGCAGCATGACAACTGTTTCTCTGTAATAGTGATCCAACATGACGTGTAGTATTACACAGGGTTGCTAAAACAAGAATATGTAGACAGTAGCTACATTGGGTTTCTGTGGCTACAAGAGTTGTTCATTTCTCTGGTAATGTGTAGAATTACTAAAATGCAGCATGACAACTGTTTCTCTGTAATAGTGATCCAACATGACGTGTAGTATTACACAGGGTTGATAAAACCTTCCTCTGACCATCATTTCCAGTAATTGTGGCTTGTTTTAGATGAGGAATAGGTTATTAGATATTTAAAATATTTGAAAAAAATAGGTATCTTCTCTCTTATTTACCCAAAAAACCCTTTTATTTACTCAGTATTGATTGCTCAAATATTCTATCCTTCACTGGGGACCATCATTTATTAAAAAATGGCCTGAAATCAATTCCAAGTCTAGCTGCAGTGAAGCTTCTAGTGGGAAATGCAAGTTAAGTAATTTGTTTTCTTTCTAAAAGGATAAATTAAAATAGACAATGATTCAAAGAACAAAACAACTTAATAGAAAACATAATGGAATGCTTTGATATTATCATTCAGGGAATTTTGCTTCCTTTGTGGTAGCTAGATTGAGTGAAGGAGATTGCTTAGGTGTAATGAGCAAATCTTATAATTGCAAGTATAACCCAAGCTGCATATCATCATTTAGATCAATAAGCCTCATTAAATATTAAATATTACCATTTAACTTTTATGCAATTAAGCAGAATTTAAAAATAAAAGTTTTAAAAATTAAAGTTTTTATTACTAAGTATCTTTTAAAATACAAATCTCATAGCTCATTATTATTGTCAAGAAAAGAATACATGAAAATTTATAAATAAGGTTTTCTCTCTAGTAAGTTTACAGTCTTGCATTAAATATTGGTTATTGGAACCCGCAATGTCCAAGATTATGATTAAGTATCAATGAAGTATGACTCTTGCGGCAAATATGCATGCAAATGTTATAAGATTATTTTCACATTATTTCACATAATTTCTTAAGCGTAATAGTATAAGTAAATTATACTTTCTACACAAGCTCTTCATATATATGAATAGACTATGTTCTAAATGTTTAAGTCATTGGGAAATCCCAATGTTCCTTCCTGAGAAACCGTGTGAGAAATTGTACCTAAGCTAAAAAAATAGAAGACAAAAAAATCAATTTAACGAGGAATGTAGATTAATATCATAGTATTGTCTCAACTGTGTGCAACCACTACTTATAAAAAATGATATAAGAAATGCAGTCTGAAATCTGAATTCTAAATAACAATGTAGGGCCATTATCCCTCTGGGACCCTTAGGGTCAAAATAAGAGAAAAGAGATGAATGGTGGGTTGGAAGTAAGTCAATGATCCTTGTCAATTTTTTGTATCTGTCAAGAAAAGCATCTGCTTGAGGACATCCATTTTCCTGCTTCTGAGTTACAGAATAATAGGTGCCTATCCTGAATGTAACATTCCCTGACACGGACTCTGTGTCTATGCTGCTTAGGTGGTTTGTGCATGAGAAAGTGTTTAACATCTGAAAATGGAGACAATCCTTAGAGAAAGATACATATGAATTTTAAAAGGAAATATACCTACGATAGAAATGAAACAAATAGCATAAATATCTAGCTGTATTTTGTCTTTTTGGTAACTGTTACAATATATACATTTTCAAACAACTAAGTTCAGCACTGACTTCGGGAGAATCTAGATAAAACTGAACTGACATATAATAAGCATGGGTGTAATTAATAGCACAGCAGGGAAAACCATGGGGGTGTTTCCTGAGAAAGAGGGACTATAGAGAGGCACCAGAAAACCCAGCTCATTTGCAGGATTCTGGGGAGTGTCAGGAGCAGTTATTATATTCAGAACTGAGAATTTATTTCTAACTCAGCAACCCGTAGTTCTGACTGAGGTGCAGTGGTGCAATCATAGCTCATCACAGCCCCAAACTCCTAGGTTCATATGGTCCTCTCATCTCAGCCTCCTGATAGCTATGACCACGGGTGTGCACTACTATGCCCAGCTCATTTATTTTATATTTTGTTTTCATTTCATTTGTAAAGACTGGGTCTTGCTATGTTGCCCAGGCAGGTCACGAACTCCTATCTTCAAGCAGTCCTCTAACCTAGGCCTCCCTAAGTACTGAGATTATAGGCATGAGCCATTGCATCTGGCTCAAAAGTATTTCTGTCTTAGTGGCTTTAGCAAAGAAGTGCCATTTTGGGGACATATACAATGGTGTGCTGTTTGGGAGTGATACAAAAATAATTATAAGAATGGAATGAATATGTCAGTATGTTTTCAAAAGCAAGTTATCCCAAGTTTTTAAACAAGCATAATTTTAGAGTTTTTGTAACTAACTTAGGGTTTAAATGTAGCAAAAATTTTAAACATTATCATGAATACACATACAATTTTAATCAATTTGGTTTCCACGATGAATTTACATGCTTAAATTGCTAATTTCAAGTTGCTGCTAGATATGAGAAAGTTTGAAATTTTGAAGAAGGAAGTGGCGCTTACAAATGTAGCAAACTTAAATTTTGAGGACAATTTAACTTCCATTTTTATGACCAGATTTTGGGTCAGCTATTAAGCATTCAAAAAATAAAATCTGATAATATCTGGCAATTCCAATTTTCAGTTTTATTGATCTTCACCATGAAATAATATTTAAGTTAAGGGGCAAAATTTTGGAAAAGCAGATCACTTTGTTGTCCTATTTAGCAGGTTCTCAAATTCTGCCATCTTGGAATCATTGCAAGTAATTATACCAAGACAATATCTTGTATTTTGTATTTCATTGTTACACGTCCAATTTTTCTCTAGAGATATCAGAGAAAACCTACTCAAGAAGGAAAGGTTAGATAAACAGCCCTCTCTCTGTCTTTGCCTCCATTTGGTTCCTTCCAATTGTTTCCCAGTGCATTTCAAAGTTACTTTTATTGTTCTCTTCATTTTCTCTTTCATTCCAGAAATTTAAGTGATTATGTAATTCTTTTGACAGCTGAAGGTGGTATCCGACTTTGAATTAAAGGTTTACAGCTACAGCTTTTCAATTAGAAAATCTCAGATCATGTGATCTATGAGTTTTAATATCTTAGGATCACTACCAGTAAGGAATAATCACTTTGAAAAACCTTAATGCTACCTAGAGTTTGTGTTTTGTGAGGTTGCTTGGTAAATTATTTTCATTTGATAATTGAATATGGCTTCAAGAGAGGTGAGCTCAGACATTTGGCAATGAATATTGAATGTGTATTCCAAGAGACATGACCTTAAAATATCATCAAGCTAAGTAGCAGTGAAATTGAACTCTGCTGTATTACAGAAGTCAGTGTTTCTTACATCTTTATGATATATAAATATTTTTACATTGTGGTAGATAATAATTTGTATGGAAAAATTTAATTGAATTTAATTTATCCTATGGCAGAATTATGTTACATGGGTCATTTTAGTTTTGGATTTAAGCATCTTAAAATTATAAATGCAAATATTCAACACATAAAACCCACATGAATACACACTCCCAAACATTTGAAATCCTAACAGTCATTTCTAACAGCTTTTTCCTACAAAAGAAGTCAGCTATTCTTAGAGATTACATGCATTCCCATAGCTTGAGAGGTTCACACTATAAGGTAAACAGAGAAAGTATTACAGCAATTTAAGAATACCAGTGGATTTACTTTAAAGACAATATACTTTTGAATTACTTGTCTTCAAAATTTAGTTTCTTGAGAAAATTATCTGTGTAGATTAATCATGCATTTCAGATACTTTCCAGACATCTGAATGTTGTTTTCTTAAAAGTAGTCAGCAAGCCTTTTTATGCAGTCTGCATGGGAGATAGTAAGAGATGTGTATGCTGTGTATCTACTAGTAGAGATTTGTTTTTGAGTGCTTCCTTAAAAAATTATTTTTTCTGAAGAAGGGGATTTCTTTTTTATAATTTAGATTAGATGATTTTAAATGTTTTTATGTTTTAACCTCTCTTTCT
>NT_187390.1:0-42811 GCF_000001405.40 Homo sapiens
AATATTATAAATTATTAATTTCTCTAATTTTTATTTTCTTCCTTCTGCTTGCTTTAGGTTTAGTTTGCTATTTTTTCCAGTACCTTAATGTGGAAGGTCATCTTATCTCATCCTTTCATTTGTCTTTTCATTTTCAAACTAGTGTCTTTTTAGCATCAGGTGAGCTCCCCAGGTTGGTAGTACTCCATGTTTATTGCTGTACAACAGTGACAGGTAGTACGTCCTGAAGACAATGGAAACTTAACATTCAAAATCCTCCTAGGTTCCACCTTATGTGATATGTCTCTTCCTTTGATTGGTCCTAATTTCTACCCTTTCTCTATTATAAACCATGAGTACAATGGCATTCAATGAGTTCTGTGAGTCTTTCTAGTAAATTCTTGAAACTGAGGGTGTTCTGGGGAAACCCCTGAACTTGCAGTTGGTGTCAAAAGTGAGAATCGTCGTATATGGCCTCTTCCTTTGAACTTTGCAGCTGGACCCAAACTTTGCACAATTTGGGCCAGAAGTCTCGTGTTGACTTTGCAGCCTAAATTATCTTGTAGTTTGTCTAACCCTTAATAAATTTGCTTTCATCAAATATTGTATTTGTTACCCCAAAATTACCATCATTTTTTTTCTCCAAATAACTAACACTGGGAGAAATAGCCAGCTGAATCTGTAACTCAACAGAAACAAGTGATCCATATACCATATAAGTGGCCATTTCATTTTGCCTCCTTCCACCAAATCTTAGCAACCTCAACCATTACCATGAGCCACTGTAGGCCTACCGGCTACAAACAAACAAGTGTCTTTTAAAAACACTTCACACTCCCATTTGATAAATTTCCCAGCAAAGAGATGCTTACTTTAACTCTATGCAAGTGGGTCATATTCGCAAAGTCTGGAGATATTATTCATGTAGTGTGAGAAAATCATCCCAGTGATGCCGGCACATTCTCCTTCCCATGATCTGCTTAGTTTGCAAACATGTTCAGGCCATAGGTGAGAGATTTGTATTTCACAGTACAACAATTTTATGGAGGGCATTGAAACTTAGATTGAGCATTTTAGTACAGTCACACAACACTGAATGTTAGGGATCCGTTCTAACAGATGCATCCATAGGCAATTTCGTCGTTTTGTAAACATCACAGAGAATATTACAAACACTTAGATTGTACAGCCTACCACGTCTAGGTTATATGGTAGAGCCTCTCTCTCCTAGGCTACAAACCTGTGTACTACATTACCGTACTGAATACTGCAGGCAATAAGAACACAGTGATAAGAGTTTATGTATGTAAACATACTTAAACATAGAAAAGTATGTAAAAATATGTATTATAATCTCATGGACCACTTTTGTATATGTAATCCATCTTTGGCAGAAATGTTATTATGCATTACATGACTCTATGACAAAAATAAAATAACACATTGTAAAAAATGTACACATGTACCAAACATATTAATATTATAAAAATAAACATATTCAGTGTAAGAATTTGTAGTGATCACAAAATATTCACAGCTCATATTTTAGTACAGTTGCAAAAGCCTAGTGCAATTACTATTTATTTCTGTGTGTATATTAAACATGTATATAATAAATATTTTTCAGGTTCAACAATATATATCAATCCTACTGGCTCTTATAAATGTTAGTTAAAATCAATTAGTAAATTCATGTATATATACACACACATGTGTATCAGTGAGTGTGTGTGCATGTATGGGTGTGAATGTAATTGTAGGTGTGTGTAAATGTAATTGGATGCATCCTAATATTTATCCTTACCTACAAGATTTCCAGGATTCATTTATTATCTTTAGATGATGTGCATTTAAAGATTTACCAAATAAAACTCTAATCGTGGAAAATCTCAAGATGTTATTAAATTCACATTGTGCACATAATTGTTTCTTTAAATTTATGTTTCTTGCAAAACCTGCATTAACACTCACGCACAAAATAATTTTCTAAATAAAAAATGAAAACATTTTCTCGGTCATTAATTCTTAATAATTATTTCTCTCCAATAATTAATGTGAATTGATTCTTAATTCTTAACTATCGAATAACGTTGCCCTTCAGAGTTCTGAAACTTTTGCATGTTGTATACATTTCACTAACTAGAACAACTTCTGGAATATTGGCATTAATTAAAGTCACTCAGCAATTATTGATTTCAAAGAAATTAAATACCTGAATCACAAGGGTATTTTGGCATCTAATTTAATCAAGCTCTTTGTATCATCATCTACACGTTAATTACTTAACAAACATTTCTCTGTGTGAGAAAGATTGAGCAGGTTATTGTGCTTTGTTAATATGCAACTTTTGCTTAACCTAGAGATAGGCAATGCTCCCTGTAAGGGACAAAGAGAAAAATGAATGAGCAATAGAGATGTGACAGGCATGGAAAAAGACAATACATTTATAAAACAAATAGGGCCACAGATGACGATAATGGGGATAAATCTTGAGATACTGACTCAGTTTACAACCGCACTGTATAATAGAGCAAATCATTTGTTAATTTTTTTACAAATGGAATTTAATTTAATTAAGATGAATACAGTATTTTAAACAAGGCTGGTCATCTTAAAATAAAATAGTGGAATAAAGTAATAAAACCAATGTAAAAATCATAAACATTTTATAAAGAATTTTTTCAGGTAATTTAATATTTTTGTTTATTTAAAATCACCCTAATTAAAATAATATCTTAATTAACAAGTAATCATCAGAAGTTTAACTAATTTTTACTTTATAATACTAGGTTTAAAAATTCTTAACTATATTTTTAAGCATATATGCTTATATATAAAATAGACATAGGATATATATTTACATGTTCACAATATTATATTGTAATTGTTCCTATGCATGTGGTTTTTCTTTTTTTTTTTTTCTTTAATTTTTTTTTATTATACTCTAAGTTTTAGGGTACATGTGCACATTGTGCAGGTTAGTTACATATGTATACATGTGCCATGCTGGTGCGCTGCACCCACTAACGTGTCATTTAGCATTAGGTATATCTCCCAATGCTATCCCTCCCCCCTCCCCCGACCCCACCACAGTCCCCAGAGTGTGATATTCCCCTTCCTGTGTCCATGTGATCTCATTGTTCAATTCCCACCTATGAGTGAGAATATGCAGTGTTTGGTTTTTTGTTCTTGCGATAGTTTACTGAGAATGATGGTTTCCAATTTCATCCATGTCCCTACAAAGGACATGAACTCATCATTTTTTATGGCTGCATAGTATTCCATGGTGTATATGTGCCACATTTTCTTAATCCAGTCTATCATTGTTGGACATTTGGGTTGGTTCCAAGTCTTTGCTATTGTGAATACTGCCGCAATAAACATACGTGTGCATGTGTCTTTATAGCAGCATGATTTATAGTCCTTTGGGTATATACCCAGTAATGGGATGGCTGGGTCAAATGGTATTTCTAGTTCTAGATCCCTGAGAAATCGCCACACTGTCTCCTTAAGCTGATAAGCAACTTCAGCAAAGTCTCAGGATACAAAATCAATGTACAAAAATCACAAGCATTCTTATACACCAACAACAGACAAACAGAGAGCCAAATCATGAGTGAACTCCCATTCACAATTGCTTCAAAGAGAATAAAATACCTAGGAATCCAACTTACAAGGGATGTGAAGGACCTCTTCAAGGAGAGCTACAAACCACTGCTCAAGGAAATAAAAGAGGACACAAACAAATGGAAGAACATTCCATGCTCATGGGTAGGAAGAATCAATATCGTGAAAATGGCCATACTGCCCAAGGTAATTTACAGATTCAATGCCATCCCCATCAAGCTACCAATGACTTTCTTCACAGAATTGGAAAAAACTACTTTAAAGTTCATATGGAACCAAAAAAGAGCCCGCATCGCCAAGTCAATCCTAAGCCAAAAGAACAAAGCTGGAGGCATCACACTACCTGACTTCAAACTATACTACAAGGCTACAGTAACCAAAACAGCCTGGTACTGGTACCAAAACAGAGATATAGATCAATGGAACAGAACAGAGCCCTCAGAAATAATGCCGCATATCTACAACTATCTGATCTTTGACAAACCTGAGAAAAACAAGCAATGGGGAAAGGATTCCCTATTTAATAAATGGTGCTGGGAAAACTGGCTAGCCATATGTAGAAAGCTGAAAGTGGTTTTTCAATAGAATTAATAAGTACTTTTAAAAGGTTTCAATTTCAATGATATATATGCTTGATTTTTCTTTGACAAAGCATACATATATTGATAGGTAATAATATGAAAATCTTCTAAAGACATTACAGGAACATGAAAATGTAATTAAATACTCAATAATTTGTAATGTTTTATGTAAGCAGAACACATTTAACTGAAAATTGCTTTTATGTAATACTCAAACGAGACTAAAAACATTTTAACTAGCGGAGTAAGTCTTGAAATTGATAATCTGAACTACATAAGAGTAGAAACTTCAGGCACTCAAATATTTGAAATGCTACAAAATACTTATATAAACTAATATTTAAAAATTTCTGTTTGTAGAGTGCTACACAGTAATCAATATAAATGACACCTTAAGTCTTTCTCTAGCTTTGACCACATTTACTTCCTAATTTTAATTATTAATATGTTGGAGCAGTACATACAAGAGTCCGATCTTCCTTTTTAATGAGTAAAAATATATCCTTTGAGACAGCATTAAAGAAAGAGCACCTTGTATAAATTCAATGCAAAGAGACAAGATATTCTTGATTCTGAAGTCTTGTTCTTTGATACAGCAATGTAATTAATAATAAGAAGAAAAGCAGGACATAGATGTGGAGTCTATTTTAATCAAAAATTGTCTATAGATTTTGATGATAAAATTTAAAAATCTACTGTATTTAGTTAGTTACAAAAAACTAGGTTATGGGAATATATTTGATCAATAAAACACCCCTACCAAATGCTGACAAGAAAAAAAGTTAGGTACCACCTTTCTTCTCTGCAGATGGCCTGAGATGGGTTAATTTGAAGGAATGCTTCCAAACCTGAGGTGACCCCTGAGAACAGCATAATCCACTGCTGTCTCTTACATTCAGTTTCTCAGTCTGTGCTCTTTTAATTTTGGGGGGAGGGAAGCCAGTCCTTTACCCGATCTTCAGCATGATGGCAGAGCCAAGGATTGCGGACAGGTGGCAAGGTGTCTGACTTTGTTCCAGCAGCCACTTGGGCTTTCTCTGTGTCTTCTGTGCACTAGGGATAGCACCACTATTGAAAACATGTCTTTGTGACATTCTCTATGCCAGGAACTCCCAACACATTTTCCTTGAAACTGATGAAATGAATAAAAATAAACCAAGAGGTGTGCTGTTTTTTCTGTTTCCTCCTTTCTGCAGCCCTTCTTGATCATCTAATATTTTTAAATACATTGTCGATCACCAAAAGGAGCATAAGGGCTTTATTGATTTGTAGTAGATATATTAATAGCCCAGCCGCTATTCCTTACCTGTAGCTGCTGGGAAGAAAACCATTCTTAACACTCTACAAGGTCTCATCTCCAGAATTTGCACCTGTTTCTAGCTGAGGACTTTCTCTAGCAGCACGGGAGCTTGTGACTGGGCATGAAGTGGGAAGAAAAGTGGGGGTAACTAAGAAGAATCTCCCTGGATTCAGTGATGTAATTCTCAGGCATGTTCCACATAGCTTCCCAGAGAATTAAGCCCAGATATCTAACACAGGAACTTGCCTCTTAACAAGTGTGGTATTGGCTTTTCTATCTTTCCTGTTTTAGTTTGTTCCCTCTTCCTTGTCTCACTTTCGCTGTGTCCTCACTCCTGCTTTAAGAATACTCAAACAAATACATTCATTTTTTTTTAGACTCTCAGAACACAGTTGATAGTTGAACTTGTAATCTATGATAATCAGCTTGGATGCTATACTGACAGGAAGATGGTGAACTCACCATGTCTAATTAAGATAAAATATAAAAATATATTGATTCATGTCCAAAGATTTAGAAAACCTAAGCGGCAGTGTCACAATTTCCTCTTTTTAGTTTACATGGTTTCTTAAACGCCTACAAATATTTTAAAGGAAGCCTTGAGTCTAGGAAAAATTGAGACATATGGAATAAATTACTAACACATTTCTCCTTGAAATCCATTAGATGCTTGATGATTTTTCACATATATTTCTGAATTGAAAAGCTAGTTGTGAATTACTTTTATCAGCATATCCTTATGTAATATTTTGTTTTTAACAGTGAATTGAAGCTTTAAAGATTAAATTATTCTATCCAGAGAATAAAAAGCAATTATTTCACAAGGAGAACATGTGTATGTTGACACGACATTTTAAAATCTAGATTTTAAAACAGGTCCTATATACTTTTGAGTCAATTAGAATATGTTTGTATCAGTCTGTCTACAGTTTTAAACCTGTCAAAACGTACTTGAACTACAACAAGTACCTTGAACACTTTTGAAATTTATTATTCCTCTTAAACTGATTAAAAGAATTATGGTAGAGTGAAATTCTGATTGACATAATTTGGGAGAGAAATTATTCCTTGGAGATCAACCTCTGCCAAGATAGTTTATAACAACATTGAGACTTTTTGATTTACAAAATTTGTTATATAAAAAGTACTAAGACGATGACAGATAATACACAGACTTTAATTAAAATTGTACTAAAATTAAATGTCTAAATAAATTAGAAGGGTACGTGGTATATCTAACTGTATGTTTACATATCTTAATTGTTCATTTTATTCCTAGGGTTGCTTTTGCTTTAGTTTGTAAAACGCTCTTATTTTTATGATAATGTAGTATATACTAAATAAAGAAAAATCAGGAAGTAGAAAATGAAGAAGAAAACATTAACTATTGTCAACCAAATAAAAATTGTGCAATCTCTAAGTACATGAACTATGTATTATTTGTACAGCATGTACAATGTTTATGCTTCACAGGGTGAGGTAGATACTGCAAAACATTGAACCTGGGACAAATAAGAAAGTAAGGAAATTTTCTCAACTTATTAATATTATAGAAAATGTTGAACATAACAGTTAAGATACAAGTAATGAAAAGTGACAGTATTTAAGGAGATCTAGAGAATTTAATCTATATCTGTAATGTGAGAGAAGTATTAGAATAATGCTTGTATTTCTGGATTGGCATCGATTTCTATTGAGACTGGAAACATAATAGAAGTGAGGGAAAAATAATTTAAATTGTGGATACTTGAGTTTTATACCTAGGAGTTCGAGAAATACATCTTGTGACTATCAAAGCAGTTGGCACAAGAGTGTACAAAATTCCCTAATTGTGCCTATGTGGAGAAGACATAGACAAACAGAGAATAGCAAAACAGAAATAGCAAAAAAGCACAAATAAATTTTACCTGTATTTTTACGTAAAAGCCAATTAGAGTAGGAAAACATGAAATTTGTGTTTTATCAAAATTTTTCCCTTTCTCATAATATAGTTGATTATATTACTGGAAAAAAATTGAAGCATTAGTATGTTCACAAAAAAAAGTAAAATATAAGGTGAAAACCATGGGAATGCAGGAAGCAGACAAAATATACCTAAACACCGAAACTGATTTTGCCCTATGGACATGTACCAAAATGAATGAGTGCAGTTTCCTACTGTCATACATCACATAAGACAGTAAAGAAATACATAGTTTTTCCCAACGTAAGGCATCATACAGGAGCTCCTCCCTAAAGCTAGAACCAAAATTTCTATCCTCAGTATAAAGAAGAATCAGAGGTATATTAGTCCCATTTCACATTCCCTGGAAACGGGAAATAAAAATGACTTGAGATTGGACAGATTTAAAGAAACTCAATCATTAATGATTTACAGCAATTAATTTAAAAATTGTTTAAATGTGCAGTCCAAACATACGTCCAAACATCTTTAGGACAAGAATTAACATAATGTGGTCCCAGAATGGTGGTGCCTTTAGAAGACTCACAACAAATTCAAATTCTCTTTGGCAAATTTTCTTCCTACTAATCCTCAAAAGTGCACAAAAATAATTTTCAGAGAAAAATAAATATTTGTCATTCAAAGGCATCTAAGTACGCAAGGAAATGATATTCCACCATTTGAAAGGGAAGTAGAAAAAGAGTACAAACAGATCCACAACGGTTCATTACTAGAAATATCACTGTTTGATTATAAAGCACATTTGCTGTAAAAAAATTTAAAATAAAATGAATATATTTTTAGGAGACTAAAAAATTGATGTAGCAAATTTGAAAAGCAGTTTGTATAAAAATATTGTATTTTAAATTAAAAACTCAAAAATGAACTCATCAGATTAGACATGGCCATGGTGAGAGTTCATAAATATTTCAGAATGCATTACAGAAAATTTAAAAAAATGCACAATGTGGACAGAATCATGAAGAGACATGGAAGATACAGTGAGAAAGTGTAGCATGTGTTTAGTGAGTGTTCTCATAGAAGAAGGCAACTGGGAAGGGACAATATGTGATGGTATTTTGGCTGAAAGTTCTCTAGACTTTTGTAAGACATTAATCTGCATGTTCAAAAATTCCATGCATGCTAAGCAAGCTACAATGGAGATAAACCTACACCTACGTATCTCTTAGAGAAATAGTAAACAATCAGGAAGGGAAAAATATTTCAATTAGCACTAGAATAATCAAATTACCTTTAATCATATTGAAATCTGAAAGAATGAAAGGTAAAATAAACAATATTATTTGTTAAGAATAATAATGCCATTCTGAAATTCTCAACCAAGAAAAATATTCATCAACCTATGGCTAAATAACTTATTTAGAGACAAGAAACAAAACGCCACCAGCAGAATTCCACTAAAGAAACTAAAGAGAAACTCTGAAAACATGCTTCAGAAAGGTTGAAGTTCTGAAATCAAAGAATGAACACAGAGCAAAATATATTGTAAACATACAGATAGATCTAAATAAAAAATTAGGTGTTGAAACAAAAAGATATTTAAAATTAGATAGGCACGGAAATATGTATGTTAGGAAGCAACTTATTAGGGCTGAAGTATTCAAAGACCCCTTAATTGTCTGACAAGAGCAGAAAGGTGAGTATGACTTTGCAACTTTTTTTTTTTTTTTTTTTTTTTTTTCGCGTAGGAGTCTCACTCACTCTTTCGCCCAGGCTGGAGTGCAGTGTCGCCATCTCGGCTCACTGCAACCTCTGCCTCCCAGGTTCAAGCAATTCTCCTGCCTCAGCCTCCTGAGTAGGGGGGATTACCGCCGCGTTCCACCATGCCTGGCTAATTTTTGTATTTTTAGTAGAGACGGGGTTTCACCGTTGGTCAGGCTAGTCTCCAACTCCTGACCTAGTGATCCACACGCCTTGGCCTCCCGAAGTGTTGAGGTTACAGGCGTGAGCCACCATGCGCGACCGACTTTGAAACTGTAATAAATTCACTGGACATTATGCATTTCTCTGTTGTTCTATGAAAACAATAAAAATAAAAGTCATAATTTAAAAACAAGAAGACAGACCCTGATAGGAAAAAATGAGGCATTTTATATATATATATATATAACAAATTAATAAAACAAATTAAGTATAAATGATCAAAAATTAACTTAAACCTAAGTAGACAATGTTTTTGTTAAAATACAAAGATTGGCAAAATTAAAAAATTCCGTCTCTATCATAGTTACGAGAGGCAACTAATATATAAATTTTCAGAAACTTTGAAGTTCAAACAATACAGATCGTGTGTGTATATATGATACACATGCAAACATACTACATGAATATAATTTTTTAAAAAGTTGCTATGTAGACAAAATAGAATGTAAGTTAGAAACATTTATTAAAATAAGTTGTCTAACCAGTGTAATAAAAGTTTTAAGTTATTAAGATGTGATCACTTAAATGTGCATTAGCCTGATACATATATACATATATATACACACACACCACACACTCTCTCACACACACACACACAAACACGTATTTAGAGAGTCAAATTATATAAAGCAAAAATATCAGCAAGTAAGTAGAAATGGATAAGCCCCCAAATTATTATAGACATTTCAAACACACATCCTTCAGTAATAGATACAAGAAGAAATTAAAAGAGTAAGATTTAAAAGAAGCCACTAGATTTTAAAAAGGGCAAATGTTATATAAGGAACATCAATATTATAATTCATGTCATTTTCATGTTCATACCGAATACTTACAAAAATTAACATTTTCTAGACCATACCACAAATTCAAACAATTTTCACGGAAATAATGTGACACAATATATTTCCTAAACAAACAGCAATGAAGGTAAATATCAATACAATAAAGAAAGCTAGAAACATAAGTGTAATAATATTGGTTGGAAGCTATTTTAATGACTATTTAAATATTTTAAAAGTGAATAGTCAATACAAATGAACCAAACACTTTTGTAAGGCCACTAAGATGCATGTGTAATGTGTAATGCCTCCTTTTATAAGGAGTCAATCTGTAACATCACCTGGGCTATTTGACAACTTCAAAGTGAATGTGAGAAGGAGAGAAACAGTGAGAGAGATATATATAAAACCAGTAGAATAAACATAAAGAATGAAGGAAATATCCAGGCGCCATGGTTCATGCCTGTAATCCCAGCACTTTGGGAGGCTGAGGCAGGGGGATCACCTGAGGTCAGGAGTTCGAGACCAGCCTGGTCCAACAGGGTGAAACCCACTCTCTACTAAATATACAAAAATTAGCCTGGCATGGTGGCATGCACTTGTAATCCCAGCTACTCGGGAGGTTGAGGTGGGAGGATTGCTTGAACATGGGGGCTGGAGGTTGCAGTGAGTCGAGATCACGCCACTACACTCCAGCTTGTGCGACAGAGCAAGACTCCGTGTCAAAAAAAAAAAAGAGGAAATAGTACATGAAAAAGCAGAAATAAAACAACTATCTATTTAAAAATGCAAAAGCTCACTTTTTCAGAAACATATTAAAATATTAAATCTAAGAAATATCTAGGTAGACTGATGGAGAAAAATACAGAAAATGCACAAAAAGAATTACCTGGAATGCAAAGGATACAAAATGTCAGCAGTTGTAGATTTTATATAAACAATGACTTTCAGTTCAACCATGATGGGGTATATTGAAAAGAATCTCTCAGAAAAAAAGGAAAAGAAAACTGTTATAAAGCTATGTACAAAATGTTAAGCACTATTGAAATCTTCCAAATCTACCAGTTACAGACTTATTGGTCTTGGACTAACTCTACTGAAAAGAAAAAAACAAAACAAAACAAAACTAAAAAACCTAGAAACCTGGATAAAATAGCCTACCGTGGGCACTGCAATGTAACCAAGCAGGTAGGACCTGGGTGCTACATTCTCTTTCTCATAACACGAAGCATTCATACACTCTTCTCACCCTCACTCTCACCTTTTAATCTTATATCTACTATTAAATGTATTCAACATTACTATCAATCCTTTGGTCAAAATTTCTTTACTCACATTGTGCTTGATGCACTTGGATAGACTGTTCAAGAAAGTGTGAGTAGTGAATTCCTCAAACTCTTGCATATTTAAAATTACATTTTTGAGCCTTGATGCTTGAAGTGTAGCTTGGGTAACGGGTGGGCTTTAAGCCAATTTTGGCATGCAAGGGGTTGAGTTTATTAGGCATCAGCACCGCTGAAAATCGTGGGGATGCAGGCTTAATTTCAACACTCCTCTAAATACTTGAAAGATGTTATATAATTCTTTAATAAACTCCTGTGTCTACAAATGGTTCACATTAACTCAATATCCATGATTAAACATCTATAAAATCAAGGCACTGTTATTTAGTGGAGACTTGCTGGCTATTCTATGAGAGGAGGTATTGTTATTGTAATCTCATCCTCTCATAAATGTGTATCATATTACTCATAACCAGCCCTTCATATTCTATTCCTATTTTGGTATTTTAAAATAAGATATCTTTGAAACACTTGAATTCAAAGAGGGAATCTGAATAGTTTTTAAAAGGTCAATGAAATGCCGTTTCTTCATGCTTGAACAAATAAAAATGGACTAAAGTGCTTCTCTTCAAACTTTCTGGAACATTTTTTATCTAAATTCTAAGAACAATCGCAATAGGTTTTAACCACAAATGTGAGAATAGTCTAAATGTTAGGGTGGAAAAATTTTTAAATAATTTTATAGTAATTTTTTCATCATAGTGACAGTGTGCTAAATTTTTTTAAGTCAAATATTACTTTAGATATTTAAGTCAAGATTCTAAGAAGCTGTTTTAAAGTCCAAAATTTAGTTTTATATACAATGATATTATATATATATTTGCATATAAAATTAATATATGTAAGCCATGTTTCAAATAGTTGAGATATTATTATATCAAAGATTCTTGATTATATAAAATGCCAATTACTTATAGGCACACATGCTTTAAATAATTACAAAGGCAGTTGTGGTTGATTCTACTCTTGCTACTGGCATTTGTATGGACATAATATTATGGTCTGAAGAATATTTAGGCAAATTTATCACTCATATGATCAGAAGAACTATGCAAGATAGTTTATATCTGAAAGGAAAAAAATCTTTATATGGTTCTGAAAGCCTAAATCATTAACAACTTGGATAATAATTAGCATAAAAATACACAAACATGCCCTCTTCCTAGCAGTAAGTACAGAGTGACAACAGAATCAAAGTACTTGGCTCCTCTTCTCTGCCCTTTCTAGATGGCACAATTCCTCATGAATCTAAGTGCAGTCATAGGGTGGATTAGGGTGACCTGCCATTTGTATGCAACTGATCTCTATTTTGGAAGTAATTAAAGTAAAAATATATTTTTAAAAAATAATTTCAATTTTCAGTGCAAACTAGCATGGTTTCACCCCTTTTCTTTGTAACACTTTTTCTAATGTTGGAAAAGTAAGGTAGACTTTAGTAAGATTTTTAATAATAAGTTTTCAAAGTGAGACTCAAAATGGTGGCGTCAACACATTTCAAGTCTGCTACATGTTGAATACACTTATTGGAGAAAAGACCTTCTCATCATTTTTCTCTTACAGGAAAGGAAATAATATGTACAGTTGACCCTTAAGCAACACGGAGTCTGGGGTGCTGGCCCCCCTGCACAGTAGAAAATCCACTATAAATTTGACTTCCCCAAAACTTAACTACTAATAGCCTACTGTAAGCCTTACAAATAACACAAGCAGTCAATTAACACATATTTAATATGTTATGTGTCTTATATACTGTATTCTTAACAAACATGCCAGAGAAAAGAAAAAATCATAAGGAAAATATATCTACTAGTTATTAAATGGAAGTAGATGATTAAACAGATCTTCATCCTCATCCTTTTCATGGGCAGGGTGTGGAGAATGATATAGAATTGTTGGTTTTGCTAAGCGGACCTGCACAGTTCAAACCACTGTGGTGCAAAGGCCAACTGTATAGCCATTGAATAGCAATTTATTTTTAGAAATTAACCTCACTAAAATATTCTTAGAAGGATGCCAAGAAAAAAATGAATAAGTATCTTTGGTTCATCTATTTCATCATTTCATTTCATTTCATCATTTCATTTCCTCATTTCATCATTTCATTTCATTTCATCCTTTCATTCATCCTTTCATTTCATCATTTCATCATTTCATCTAATCATTTCATCTCATCATTTCATTTCATCATTTAATCTCAACATTTCATTTCATTTCATCATTTCACTTCATTTCATCATTTCATCATTTCATCTCATCATTTCATTTCATCTCATCATTTCATTTCATCTCATCATTTCATTTCACCTTTTCATCTCGTCATTTCATCATTTCATTTCATTTCATCTTTTCATCTCATTTCATTTCATCATTTCATTTCATCAATTCATCATTTCATGTATTTCATCATTTCATCGTTTAGTTTCATCATTTCATTTCATCAGTTCATCATTTGACTTCATTTCATCATTTCTTTTCATCATTTCATATCATTTCATCATTTCATCTTTTCATTTCATTTCATCATTTCACTTCATCATTTCATCATTTGATTTCCTCATTTCCTCATTTCATTTCATCCTTTAATCATTTCATCTCATGATTTCATCCTTTCATTTCATCCTTTCATTTCATCATTTCATCTCATCATTGCATTTTGTCATTTCATTATTTCATTTCATTTCATCATTTCATGTCATCTCATCATTTCATCATTTCATCTCATGATATCATTTCATCACATCATTTCATTTCATCGCATTTCATTTCATCTTTTCATCTCGTCATTTCATTTCATTTGATCATTTCATTTCATTATTTCATCATTTAATTATTTAACTTCATCATTTCATTTCATCATTTCATATCATTCTTCATTTCATCATTTGATCTTTTCATTTCATTTCATCATTTAATTTCATTTCATCTTTTAACTTCGTCATTTCATCATTTGATCTTTTCATTTCATTTCATCATTAATTTCATTTCATCATTTCACTTCGTCATTTCATTTCTTCATTTCATTTCCTCATTTCATTTCACCATTGCATTTCATCATTTCATCATTTCATTTCATCATTCCATTTCATCTTTTCATTTCATCACTTCATCATTTCATTTCATCTCATCATTTCATCCTTTCACTTCATTATTTCATTTCATCATTTCATCTCATCATTTCATCTCATCATTTCATTTCATTCCATCATTTCATTTCATTTCAGTGATTCATGTATTTAAGTGCTAACGTGATGCCCAGGAGACACCCTATTTCCCTTTGTAAAATACCTCCTTCAACAAAAGGCAACCTCTCATGGCTGGCTAAGTCTACAGGGATACCAGGCTCTCTTCAACCACCCAGTTTGATTTGGAACCTCAAACAGCACCTCAGTTTCATAAAAACTTAAAACATAAACACAACACTTGGTTGTAAGTGAGACAACAGTTTCTTGTCTCTTTCTCTGCTCAAGGCTTAAGGCCGTGTCTCCCCAACTACGTTCAGTGGAAGAAAAGATCCCCTGGACAAATAAGTTTGAGAACTGTTGGTGCAGGACTTCTCAGAACCTTTAAAACACAAATCCTCATCCGCAGGGATCTTCAGGAGGGAGATGGCTGATGCAGCACAACTTTCTTTCACAGGAGCATCCTGCAGAATACAGTATGAGATATAGAAAGGCTGCATTGAGTCTTTGTAAGGGCCCGAGCCTTGGTGGGTGTGGGGTAGGAGCTCTCCAGATAGCATCTAATGAGTAGGAACATTCAGGTGGCTTTTTTTTTCCTTATTGGCAAAACTGTGTGTGCACCATTAATGAAGCTGGTCTCCCTTATCCATATCAAAACTAAACCCGAATTAATTGGCTAAATTGGGACTCAACCCCTCCAGGAGCCACGCGGAGGAAAGCCCCACCACACTTTAAAGTAGCTTACCTCATCATATTTGAGGAAAGCAAAACACTTATGATCCAGTATGCTGCTAATACAAGTCTACAGATAATGCTGTAGAAAAAATTATTTTTCCCAATCATAGCTGGCATAGTATACATTTTGCATTACACTTTCCCCCCTTTTTTAAAATTTTAAAAACAGGTCTTTCTCTCTTCTTTTTTTAAATTTTAATTTAATTATACAAGACGGAGTCTCAGTATCTTGCCCAGGCTGGTCTTGAACTCCTGAGCTCAAGTGATACATCCATCTCTGCCTCCCAAAGTGCTGAGATTACAGGCCTGAGACACAGTACCTGGCCTTAAACACAAATCTTACTTCATTCTTACAATTATCCTTAGGTTAGAAAAATGGAAGGGGAAGAAAGAAGAAAAATGGCAAGCAGGTAGGCAGACTTTGGCTTCATTACTTGGAAGGACAGTTTGCTCGGTTAAAACACACTACTGCCCACAAAGGCCAAGACAACAGAAAAATACAGACTTATATAAATAGATTTTATATGTGACAGTGTTTGAATGGAGACTTTTTCAATGCAAATGACAAACAGCTGTGATTGGGAATAAATGACAATGATTTTTTTTTTTCTCAACAGCTGTCCTGAGAGCATGTTTCTACATCTCTACTTGCATTCTGGAATCAGGGAGAAAGCCAAAACGGATGACAAGACACTAGATCAGCCGTGTCCAACGCTTTGACTACAAGGACTTTTCCGCCTATCTGTGGTGGTGGGTATCATGAAAATTATGCGCAAACCTTTTTTTTAAAGCTCATCAGCTGTTGTTAGCATTAGTGTATTTTATGTGTGGCCCAGGAACATTCTTCTTCCAATGTGGCCCTGAGAAGCCGAAAGACTGGACACCTGTGCACTAGATCAAAAGGCTACTCCTTCTGGAAGCAATTGTAAAGAATTTCTGACATTATCTTGACATGAAAACCAATGGATAGTGGGATAGAATGAAAAATCTTCAAGAATTTTTCTTGTCGGTTTTTTTTTTTTTTTGAGTCAAGGTCTTGCTCTGTGGCCCAGGCTGGAGTACACTGGTGAGATCACAGCTCAGTGCAGGCTCAAGTGCTCCTCCCGCCTCAGCCACAGTAGTAGCTAGGATTACAGGTGCGTGCAACCACCCCTGGCTAATATTTTATTTTTTGTAGAGACGGGGTCTCACTATATTGTCCAAGTTGGTCTCAAACACCTTGACTCAAAGGATCCAGGACAGGATAACAGGTGTGAGCCACCACACCTGGCCATGTGCATGAACTTTTAAGACAAACACAAGGATCCACAAAAGTTAAGGTTTTCCCACCTAATTTCCAGGGGATCTTTTGGTGCAAGGATAAGAAGTCCTTAAAAGTACACAGACAACTACAAAGATTCAAGACAGTTCACTGGGGCTGAGCCAGCCCACTGGGCAGACTGACCTTCAAGAAAGGCCCACCCATGACATACACCAGATGGCTCTCCAAGAATCTCTCCAGCCCTCAGGGTCCCTAAGGTACTGGACAGAGCTAGAAAAGTAAGCCCATTTGCTTCTTCCTGCAGGAAACCCCTTGAGGTCAAGACCCCACAATCAGACGAGGATGGAGTGGCTCACCCTCAGTCAACAGGCCAGACTCAAGGTCGTATAATGTCTTAACCATGGATGTGGGCCTCCAGGTCTCACACCCAAGTCAGTGCTCCTTTAATAATCACACTTTGTTAATTCTCCTTAACAGGGGTTCCTGGCAAGTCAGTTCTCCCTCAGGCCTTCGGTTTCCTCACCTACAAGATGAGAGGGCTGGACCCCGCGGTATCACCCCCGCCACCGCCCTCCTTCTTTTCTCCCATCGCCGCCACGTGCAAGGCCGCTCTATGCAAGACTCAGCGGCCCAGGCAGGGGGCTCGGGCACCTAGGCAAGGAACCCCCGAGCTTGGAGAGCTGGACCAGGAGCGCCCCTCGGCGCTGACCCCGCCAGGACGCCAGTAAAGCTGGCAGCCGAGTCTGCCGCTCACGCCCTCAGAGCTGCGGCGGCAGGCGCAAAAAGCCGCAGCGGCGGGGGCAAAAAGACGCGGTGGCCTGGGAAAAAGTCGCAGCGGCGGGGGCAAAAAGCCATGGCTGCAAAAAGCGGCAGTGGCGGGGGCAGAAAGCTTCGGTGGCGGGGACAAAAAGCCTAGGCGGCGGGGGCAAAAAGCCGCGGCGGGAAAAAGGCGCGGTGGCGGGGGCAAAAAGCCACGGCGGCGGGGGCAAAAATACTTGGCGGCGGGGGCAAAAAGCCGCGGTGGGAGAAAGCCGCGGCGGCGGGGGCAAAGAGACGAGGCGGCGGCAGGGGCAAAAAGCTGCTAAAAGCCGCGGGCGGCGCGGACAAAAAGCCTTGGTGGCGCGGGCAAAAAGCAGCGGCGGCAGGGGCAAAAAACCGCGGCGGCGGCGGCAAAAAGCCGCGGCCGGGGGGAAGAAACCCCGCGGCGGCGGGGCAAGAAGCCGCATAGGCAAAAGCCGTGGGGGAGGGGGCAAAAAGCCGCGGAGACCAAAACCCGTGGCGGCGGGGGCAAAAAGCAGCGGCGGTGGGGGTAAAAAGCTGCGTCGGCAAAAGCCATGGCGGCAGGGGCAAAAAGCAGCGGCGGCGGGGGCAAAAAACCGCGGTAGGAGAAAGCTGCCGCGGCGGGAGCAGAAAGCCTCCGCGGCGGGGCAAAATAGTGGAAATGGGGTAGAAGGTGGCACAGCTTTGCATTGCTGGAGTGTGATGTGATAGGAAAAGTGCAGTCGAAGACAAAAAGAGATATAAGTAGGCTTAACTCAGTGCAGCTAAGAACCCAGATGTTATCTTGAGGGTATTAACTAATAAGCAGTTTAAATCAGAATGTGCCATTCTGATTTGTTTTTTGTATGTTCACATTTGGCAAGCATAGATACTGTTTGGAGAGAGGAAACTCAGTAGATAGAGGTAACAAACTTAAATATGTGCCAAGTCTAGAAACAAGAGACTAGGGGGATAAGGACCTTTCAAAATAAAATGCAAGATTTGAAAACTGATTGGCTGGGGGATGAGGAAAAGGCAGGTCTTTAAGGTCAATCTATGTTTTGCTTTAAGTTGTTAGGGGGTGGTTTTATCACATATTGTAGAATATGTCATTTCAGTTTTGAACATCTTGAGTTAAATTGTCCTAACATATCTTATGAATTTGATTTTGTTCCCTGGGAAGCTAATATTTCAAAAACTGAAAGAGTATAGATTTCCAACTTGTGTCCAATTTATAAAATTATCTGTAGGCTGCTGGTTTCAGGAGGAGGCTCATGAATATTCTATTTGCAGAGAATATATCAGGAGTTAACAACAGCGTCAATATTTGTGGAAGACTAGTTAACTAAGCCACCTCTTAGTATATTTAGATGGGAAATCTTAGCTGAAGATATTCAATAATGAACCAACAGTGACTAAAAAATTCAATATTTAAGTGTATTTCATCGTAATTAATTTGAAATTAAGTAGCCATATACAGCTAGTATTTACTACATTAAGCAATGCAAATAAGAGGACAAAATTAATAACCATCTCTAATACCACATGCCAAAATCCTCATCAATTTATTCTAGCTAAAGGAGTTTATCAGAAGCAGCAATTGAAAGCACCACCTAAACCAGCTGGGGTTAATTCACTGTCATTCTCTCAGAACCATCTCTTCTCTGAACAAAACAAGTAGAAGAGATAATTATGAATCTCCATTTTCCTTGCCTATTTTAAGGTTTTGATGTTGACACTAATTTGTGAAATCCCTCCTGTGGTGTGATATTTCGTTTTCCTTGCTTTTTGTTAGGACAAGAATGCTTCAGCTCTTAATTTAAAATTATGTTTCTCCCTCCTAGGTTGAGTGAACTTAGAATGCATTCTCTGACATATCCAAGTTTTTGTTAATATGAATTTGGGGGGAAAAGCATACTAAATTAGCTAAGAATCCTTATTCTAGGCTTGACCCTGTGTTCGACATCTTTTGAATTTGTAGTTGCATAGGCTGCTCTCTGACACTGGTTAGTGATCTGGAAGCTATATTAACGTTAGGGGAGGTGGTGTATGAGCATTAGAAGTATCCTTGCAAGGAAAGACTTGTCTTATGTCAATACGTCTTTTTTTTGCACACAAGAAAGTCAATGTTTGAGTCTTCTAAAATCTTCCTATTTCCAAGTTGCAGAGTACCATCGATTCCTAAACAAAGATCTAATTTTTGACTCAGAGATGTGGCAAGGTAGTGAATCACCATTATAATTTAACAATCTTCAAGATAAAATTATCTCTCTGATATTTAGATTTTGCCCAATTATTAAGATATTTGGGTGTTTCGTTAAGAATGGAAGACGCTAGTCTCTTGAGCAGAGACTATAAAGGCCTCAGATGATCATTTTTAATTTTATGCTCTTTTCTTTAACACCTTCAAAGCAGTTGGAAGCAGCCAATATTCCCCAGAGTTGTTGTGTTTTTTAAACCAAATGCATGGTTCAGTGGTAGAAAACTGGGCTGACCCAAGCTGTTTTCAGTAAACACTTCATTACAGGTGACCTATTTCATATTAAATAATCTCTATATCCCGTCTTCAAAACTAACTAGATCAGATAACCTACCCTAGATTTTCCCCTTTTAGGGTCTGTGAGCTGCAGTCACTTTTGTGAAAATCATTGCAATGAAAAGATAGAGTTGTAGATGGGGAAAATGTTTTGACTAATTTAAGCATTGTAGTATTTAATATGAGAAGTTAAGTTATGCACATTTGAAAATTATAATGGAGTCTCTTGGCTGAGCTTTAAAAAAAATAGCATTTAGGCTAAAAAGGGAACTGCTACCTCTCCTAAAATCAGAAAGATGTTACAGTAATTCTCCATTCTCTAGAATTATCAGGAAGCACCTTTGTGATGATTTACTTTTGCTCTTGGGAGTGTGAGCCCGTGTAGTCTTGGAACCATCAATTAGAATGATGGCTTTCTGATCCCAAAGTCATTCGTTCTGAAAACAATATTTTTCATAAATTTGAAAGTGAGAAGTTTTGATCTTGCCATTCCCAAGTAACTCTCTTAATAAGAGGCATCAGCATGCTTCAGTGACAGCTGTCACCTTCCAGTGCTGAGAGTCATCTTTGAGTTCTCCATTTCACTCCCTACACTCCAATTTAGCTGCAGTTCTCTTGGCCAGTCCTATGAAATACATCCACGGCCTAACGACTTCTCACCACTAATACCACTCATCCTGACAGCATTCTCACCTAAGTCACTACCTTTTTTCTCTGGATTACAATAGCCTCCCCATATATTTGCTCACATGACCTACTTATTCTACACAGTGCACCAGATACACCCCTTTGAAATGCAAACACAATCATGTTATTCTCTGGTGAAATTATCTCATATATTCCTATCGCATTTAAAATTAATTCAGAATAATCCCATGATTATCAAAACCCTACATGCTCTTCCACAACATGGTTTACTTCCAAGATATCTCTTCAACTTTTTTTTCACTGTGCTGAATTGGTGACTAATAGTCATATTTTTGTTTTTGCTCAAAAAGTCTTGACTTCTAAATTTTTCAGATTCCCCTTTATCCACAGGTAACTCTTTCCTCATAAGGCGAATTCCTTGCTTCCTTGAGATCTGCTCTCAAAGATACCCTTCATTTTCTACCTAATATTAATAACTTGAATCATTCATTATTCCATTACTGTGCTCTATAGTGTATACCATTTCTCTTCTTTGTCATGTTATTAACTAAATTATTTATTTGTTCCAGTAAAGTATTCCATAAATATCGTACACATAAAAATTATGTTATTTTCATTGCTGTATGCTCAGCTGCCCAATAACAGTTGGAGGATTAACATATTTGTTAAATGCACAAATACATTTTTTTCACAAATATTAGTTTAATAATTTTATATTAAACTCCCTATATACTTACAATATGAATTAGATAATTCAGAATAAACATTCCATTGGAAAAAACTAAACAATTTGTTATAAAACGTCCTTAAAAGCATCAGAAAGTTAATAGAGCAACGAAGAATTACAGGACCAAATTAAGAATGGAATGGAAGCCTGTTTGTGGGGCTTATGTTTGGGTTATCTCTTTACTTAGAGTGACTATAAATCTCAAAAGAGAACTAAAGGGATAAGTAACCATATGTACTAACATGGTAAGGGTATTTAAACATCTCTTAGTAATTGAGAAAATTGAAAGAAAAGAAAAAAGAGAAAGGGAGAAAGAGAAACAGAGCGAAAGGGATAATGAAGGAGAGAAATAAGAGAAAGGAAGAGGAAGAAAAGTAAAAAGGAGGAGGAGGGGAGGGAGGAAGAAAGAAAGGTGAAAAGAAAGAATGGTAAAGTTTTCAACAACATAATTTATCCTTCTAGAATATGAATGTTGGTGTATTTGATGATGTCCCACAGATTCCTTAGTCTCTGCTCATTTTTTATCTGTTTCTCAGAGTCAATATTTTCCACTTTCTTATTTTCAAGCTCATGACTTCTTCTGTGTGTGCAAATATACTCTTGTATCCCTCTGGTGATTTTTAAATTTTTATCATTGTAGTTTTCCACTCCAAAATTTCTGTTATCTCTTTGTTGATATTCCTACTTTTTAATATTTTTTCTGGTTCCTATATTTCTTTGTTTCTGTTTTCCTTTTGACATTTGAGTATAATGAAGAGAGTTGTTTTAAAGTCTTTGTCTAGTAAGTTTGATGTCTGGGTTTCCTTAGAGATATTTTCTGTCAATTTATTTTGTTCCTTTGAATGAGCCATACTTTCCCATTCTTTGTATGCCTTGTAAATTTTTGAAAACTGGACATTATAATAATTATAATTACTATGTGGTTACTCTGTAAATCAGACCCCTCTTACAAACACACTAATGTTTTGTGGTTTTAAGTTTTATTTACTTATTATTGTTAAGGTTTTAATTTTTAGTGAAATTTTCCAAAGTGATTTACAAAACTGTTTGCTTTATAAGGTGTGGTCACTGAAGTCTTTTTGTTTCCTTAACAAATGTTAAGCTAATGTTTTGACAGTGATTTTCTTGTATGTCAGGAACTAAGCAAACAGGCAAATACAACAAAAAATGAAAAACAAGGAATCATTATCCAGCAAAATGTGTCTCTAAGCCATGCAGACTGGCTTTGTGCTGGGTTCTTTAAAGCCGGCACAAAGTGTGTGTTCACTCTTGCACTGAGTGAAGTTCAAGTTCACTCTTGCACAGAGCTAGCACTGAGGGGAGGGATCAGCCAAGGTAAAAGTGTAGGGTCTTCTTATGACATATGTCAGCATTGGGCTTAACCTATGCATACATGTGACTTTCTAGACTCTCCCATGTCCGTGAATGATTTTGAATGTCTTAGTTTTCCAAATACTCTTCTCCAACTTTTCTTGCTGTGCTGAAGGTGATCTACTATATGTGTAAACTCTAATTTTTGCCCTAAGCATCTGTGGTTTGTTAGGTCTCCTTGCAGAGTTTCTTAATAATGTCCATTCCTTATGTCTTCTGTATTCTAGCAACACAGAAGAAAAAAAAGCCTTTCATTAGTCCTTTAGGTTTTCCCCAGACCAGTCAGAACAGACACATAATAATTTGCGGCTAAGATCTTCTCTTGTTCCTTTGGACCATGGACCAGGGTTCCTCACTGGGAACGTGGGCTTCTGACACTTCAAAACTGCCAATTTGCTGGGGCAAAGGCAAGTTAAAAATGTCATAAAGTTTTCCAGTTGTCTTTCTCTTGAGTCTGCTTTCACTCGGTTGTTGTAATCTTTTGACCATTTTCCAGAGATTTGGCAAAGTTTATTCGGACAGTTTCTCTTAGTTGTGTGATGTTTCTGTGGGGAAATGAAAGATTGCAGCTGTCTCCACTGCCGTTTTGCTGATGCTCCTCTTTTGTCAATTTTTTCTTCATGCTATTATGCTTTGTTATTAGTTCATGTATTAGTTTTATAGGGCTGCCATAACCAAGTAACACAAACTGGGTGCCTTGAACAACATACATTTATAGTCTTATAGTCCTGGAAGCTAAAAGTCTGAGATTGAGGTGTCAGCAGGGATGGTCCCTTCAAGGGCTATGAGAGAAAGTCTGTTCTATGCCTTGTTTCTAGCTTCTGGTGGTTTAGTGGCAGTCTTTTGCATTCCTTGGCTAATCTCTGCCCTCATAATCACATGGTACTCTCCCTGTGTGTATGTCTCCCTCTACTCAAATTTCTTCTTTTTATAAGGACATCAGTCATATGGAATTCAGGCTCATCGATTTTATCTTAACTTGATCACCTGCAAAGAACCTATTTCCTCATGAGGTCATATTCAGTGGTTAGGATTTCAGCATCTATATAGAGGAAACAATTTAGCTCCTATCTGTGCATACATGATTGTAATAGCTATGTCTTCCGAAAGCGTTGACCCTCTTATTACTACAATATAAATTTTTAAAATCCTATTCACATTTTAATAGTCTACCTCGTGTGTTATGAGTATAATGAGTTCAGTTTTCTTATGATTGCTCTTTGCATGATATTTTTTGTCATCTTTTTACTTTCAATCCATTAGTATCCTTGCATCTCACCGTATATTGGGATCGCTTGTTTTAATCCAGTCTGACAATCTCTGCCTCTTGATTGGAATTTAATCTGCTCACATTTAATATTATAATTGGTATAATTCTATTTATGTCTGCCATTTTACCGTTTGTTTTGTATATTTCCCAAATATTTTTCTTTATTGCTGTATTTTGCAATGAATGAATATTTTCTAAAACAGGGAACTTTAGATTACTAATGAATTATTTTACTATAAATTTTTGAGAATTTTTGTTGTTGTTGTAAGTTTACCATATAAGTATATGGAAAATTAATTATTCAAATCGTCTTCCAATTTATACTGGTAAACTTTTAGTAATACATAGAAACATCATTCTTTTACAAATCTCTTTTATTTCCTCCATTTTAAGGTAGTATCAATTTACACATTACATCTATTAAAGTTACAAAGTCAACAATACATTTTAGTAATTATTACTTTACCATCTAGAGGGATTACCTTATCACAATACATTTTTCTTCCAACTACCTCCTTTTTGATGTTACTGGAAAATATGTTATAGACATGTTCCATTTCTACATGTCAAATACTCAGCAATACATTATGCACATATTATTATTATTATCATTGAGACGGAGTCTCCCTCTGTCGCCCAGGCTGGAGAGCAGTGACACAATCTCCGCTCACTGCAAGCTCCATCTCCCGGCTTCATGCATTCTTCTGCTTCAGCCTCCCGAGTAGCTGGGATTACAGGCGCCCGCCATCACGCCCGGCTAATTTTTTGTATTTTTAGTAGAGACGGGGTTTCACTGTGTTAGCCAGGATGGTCTCGATCTTCTGGCCTCGTAATACGCCCGCCTCGGGCTCCCAAAGTGCTGAGATTACTGGCATGAGCCATCGTGCCCGGCCGTTATACACATATTATTTTATAAACAATTTATGATAAGGAGAAAACATGCATTTATACTGTCTTTTATAATGTTAATATTACCTATACCAGTGCTTTTTTAAAAATGTGGATTCAAATGACTGTCTTGTGTAACTTGCATTTAGCCTTAGGAATTTATTTTAGTTTTTTTTTTTTTTTTATGGTAGGTCTGCCAGCAACAACTTCAGTTAATATTTCTGTTTATCTGGGTAAGTCTTTGTGTTATCTTCATTTTCGAAAAATAATTGCTGGATAAGGAATTGGTGGCTGACAGTTTTTTTTTCCTTTGCATCTTTGGACTATATTATTCTACTGCCTCTTGCCTTCCATTGTTTCTGTTAAGTCAGCTGTTACTCTTACAAAACATAGGTGCTCAAAAAATAAACATGTGCATGAATATTTACAGCAGTAATATTCATACAGTCAAAAAGTGGAAACAATCCATATGCTTTTTGACTCATAAATGGACACCCAATTTCCAGCTATAACAAAGAATGAAGTACTTATACATGGTATAATAGGGGTGAAATTTGAAAGCATTATGTTAAGTTCAGAGAAGGCCAACATTACTTGATTTTATTCACATGAAACATCAGGAATCGGCAAATCAATTGGGATATAAATCAGATTAGTGGTCATTAGGGCTCAGGGAAGCAGAATAAGGTGTAACAACTTTATGCATAATGGGTTTTTAGAAGGCACATGATGAAATTGTCCTGGAACATTGTGAATATACTAAAAGCAATTGCATTGTATGTTTTAAAATGGTTAAGTTATTAATTTTATATTATGTGATTTTTGCCTTAAAAAACAAGCAAGAGAAAATAGCCTTACTCTATATACAAAAAACTCAAGATGTGTTACAGATTTATATGTGAAATCCAAAATACTATAATATTTAAGGAATAGCTAAGTAGAATAACACTGAAATTTAACATAATGAAATATTTCCTTAAAAAAGAAAAAAGCACAGTAATTAAAAAGGGAAATATAGTTAATATTTTTTCTCTCCATTAAGCATGCCATTAACTGATTAAAAAATCAAGCTGCAATTATGTAAACTACATTTTCTGAAACCATAAAGAAAATAAGAAATGAAAAGGGATTTGGGAAAAAAATCCAAAGGTACAGTCAACTACACGAAAAAAGCTTAGTCTCATTAATCATTATTAAAATGCAAATTGTAACTGAAATAAGATAAAACTATAATTCAAAGAGAAAGCCTAAAATTTCAACCCCCCAAAAATTCTGGGTTTTACAGAGCTGGGATGGAGTAGGTCTCCTAACGTTATAACAATGTAATAACCAAACTAACTTCAAAGTCATGACTTTATTTTTATACCAACCAGGTTGCCAAGAACTCAGTCAAAATGTGAGGGAAAGCAAGCACCTGCAAGGAGAAAGAGGACAGATGCACTTACATAGGACAGATGCAAATAGACACCACTATGAAAAGTAAAGCTGGAATAATCAAATTCCTAAGGACAAAGTGGGGCTGGTCAGATTGGGAGACGGCTGACAGCTGCAGAAGTTGGGAAAGATCCATCATCTTGAAAACTTTTTCCTCACAAACCCACTGTGATCTCTCAAGCAATTGGTAAGGAATCCAAGAGAGTCTGTATATGATACAGATGAGGGAGAGCAGAACACTTGGGAGGTGACCAGGTCTTGGGGGCCGAGCCCTTATGAATGGGATTATTGCCTTTATAAAAGAAGCTCAATGGAGTTCTTGTGTGCCTTCCACTATGTGAGGACATAGAAAGAAGGCACCATCTATGAAACATGAAATGGGCTCTCATCAACACTGAATTTGTGAGCATCTTGACCTGAGATCTTACAGCCTCAAGAAGTGTGAAGAAAGAAATATCTGTTGTTTTTTAGTTACCCCGTTCATGTTATTTTGTTATAAGAGTCCAAATAGACCAAGATATTCCACTTAATATGTAGGGGAAGGTAACAAAAACTGACACACCTAGAATACTCCTGATGCTGGGAGTATGAAAACAGGAAAAACAAAACAAAACTGCTCTTGAAGGTGAAGGAGGAATATCACTGAGCTTACCAACACAGCCAGGAAAAGAACAGAAGTGTGAGAAGTCTACATTCCTGAGATCCTGAGAAAAAGTACCTGCATAAGACTGAGATGAAATTACCTACCCTAGTTATAATTGAAATCCCAAAAAGAAAAGAGGAAAAAATAATGGAACAAAAGAAATATTTTTCAAAATAACTGCCAAAAATATTCTAAAAGAAGTGACAGAAAATCAAACTTCAGATATAGGAAACTCAGAGAATGTCAGTAGAACAAAAATAAATAAGAATTACATCTTGGAAAATCTTTAAAAAATCAACTCTAAATTTTATATCTTGCTCCAAATATATAGAGATATAAATAGGTTATCATCAAGATATGGAGAAAGCCATATCATGGAAACACTAAAATAAAGCTGTGGAAGGACTACATTGATATTAGACACAACAGAGCTCAGAACAAGAAATAGTATCAGAGATGAGAGATAACAGATAATATAATAATCAATTCTCAAGAAGATGTAAACCTCCTACTAATTAGGGTATGCAGCTAACAACAGAACCTCCAAATACATGAGGTAAAACATGAAAGAAATCAAAGGTGAACTAGAAAAATCCAAAATTATATTTGCAGACTTCAAAACTTTTGTCTTAGTAAGGGACAGACTAGGCACAGACTCAGTAATCATATGGAAGGTAAGAACAATATCACCAACAAGACATCCATTCTTCAATGGCAGATACTCTTTCCTTTCAAGTGAAAAAAAAAACAGTATGGCATATTCTCTAACAAACCCAGAATTTCTAACGTTTGCGGTCTTCCTTCCTTCTTTCCATCTTCCTTTCTCTTCTCTTCCCTTCCCTTCTTCCTTCCTTTCTTCTTTTCCTCTTTCTTTTCTTTTTTCTTTTCCTTTTTCTTTCTTTTTTTCTCCTTCCTTCTTTCTTTGCTTCTTACTTTCTTTCCTCTGATTCTTCCTTCCCTCCTCCTTCCCTTCCTTTCTCCCTCCCTTCTTTTCTTCCTTCTTTTCTCTTATTCTTTCTTTCTCACTTCCTTGCTTTCTTTCTTTTTTCTACCATCCTCCCTCCCTCCTTTTCTTCCTTCCTCCCTCCCTTCCTTTCCTTATTTTTCCTTCCTTCCTTCCTTTTCTCTTTATTTTCTTTCTTTGCCCTCCTCCCTCTTACCATTCTCTCTTCATCCTTTCCTTCCTCCCTTCCTCCTTCCCTTCTTTCTCACTTTCTTTCTCTCTCTCTTTCTTTCTCTTTCTTTCTTTCTTTCTTTCTTTCTTTCTTTCTTTCTTGTGTTCTTTCTTTTTTCTCCCTTCCTGCCTTTCTCCCTTCCTCCCTCCCTCCCTTCCTTCCTTCTCTCATTTCCTCCTTATTTTCTTTCTTCTTTCTTTCTTTCCTTCCTTCCTTCTTTCCTTCCTTTTTTTACTTTCTTTTCTTTTCTTTCTTTCTCTTTACTACAATTCATATTATTTAAAAAAAATTAAGACAGGGAGGAAGAAAAATAAAGAACACTTTAATCTGGAGGTAAATACATTATGTCTGCTGTAGACAAAAGGATGGCCTTCCAAAAATGTTCATGTCCTAATTCCCAGAGTCTAACATACAAATATGTTAGGTTACATGGCAGTGGAAAATTAGATTTCAAGTGAAATTAAGGTTGCAATAAAATGATGGAGAGATTATCTTAAATGGTTGGGATCAATGAAATCACAAGCTTCCTTATAAGTGAAAGAAGAAGGTAGAAGAAAGGCAACCATGGAGGTGGTGGCATGAGAAATTACTCAACATCACTGACTTTTAAGATACAAGAATGAGGACCCAGCGTGGTGGCTCACGCCTAATCCCACCCCTTTGGGAGGCCGGGGTGGGTGGATCACGAGGTCAGGAGATCGAGACCATCCTGGCTAACATGGTGAAACCCCATCCCTACTAAAAGTACAAAAAATTAACTGGGCATGGTGGCACGTGACTGTAGTCCAAGCTACTCAGGAAGCTGAGGCAGGAGAATCGCTTGAACCCGGGAGACAGAGGTTGCAGTGAGCTGAGATCGTGCCACTGCACTCCAGCCTGGGCGACAGAAGGAGACGCTGTCTCAAAAAAAAAAAAAAAAAAAGATATAAGAATCAGGTCGTGTTCCAAGGAATAAAGATGGCCTCTGCATGCTGAAAGAAATAAAGTACATAGACTCTGCCACAGAGCCCTCGGAAAGACTGCAGCCCTGCCCAAAACTTGATGTTAGCCCTATGAGTCTCATTTAAGGCTTCTGAACTCCGGAACTGTAGGCTTAACAGTCACTTTATGGTAAGATATGAATTTCGTGATAATTTGTTACAGCACCAAGAGGAAGTTTATATAGTAATTGTATCATGAAAATGAGAACCATAATTTACAACTGCTTTTAATACTGCACTTGGATGTTTGAAATCACGTACATGGAAATGATCTCTATGGGTATGAAGGAGGATAGCAAATTGATGCCAAAATAATGCAAATGCAATCTTACACTCATTTATATGTAGGTTTAATTTAATCTTTGAAATTAAAATGAAATTAAAGAATTATGATATTTTGATGAGATTAGACTAAAATGAACAATAACAAAATAAGAACTTACTTGTATTCTTTATATGGTCAATAAAGAAGTGATAGTGGAAAAAAATAAGGTCAAATGAAGGTGATGATTTAGGAAGTTGGAGAGATAGCCTAAACTACAAAATGGTATATAACTAGTGAACACTTAGACACACTGATTGATGAACTTCAGCTTTTGGATTGGTGAGAGCATAAAATAAGAGCAGCTGAGGTTTGCAAATTTGCAAAAACAGGCGAAAACACATCTCAGCCTATTAAGATTTATCTACTAGAGAGTCAAGACTTGATCCATTTGTCCTTGTAATTCAAAAGCTAATTCAAATACTGATTTGATATACTGTGTGAGCAACCATTGCTGATTATCATCGCATACCTGGCACTCTCTTTTATCTGATATCTAAAATATTTGGTAATTCCTGGACTTTCTCTTTTCAAACCCAGTATGGTTTAATTTCAATCTTAGAACAGTTGTCTTTGAGAAATTCTTCCCTCTACTGCATCTCTGAATGGGCATAGCATGGTTATATACATACTATCACCACAGAGAACATTTGTTGAATTAAAGCCAAAGTTTGAAGCAACAGCTTTAACTTACTGGTTTTACTAATGTTTTCCTCCCCAATAGCCACAACAATATTGATATCCTCACACCTTTTAACATAAAGCTTGGTGTTGTCTATTTTTCAGGTGCTGTCATCTATATGATCTCAGTATTTTAAAAATCAGCTTCCAGCCCATATGGTGGCTCATGCTTGTAATACCAGCAGTTGAAGAGGCTGAAATGAGAGGATTCCTTGAGCCCAGGAGTTCAGGAGCAACCTGGGCAACATAACAAGACCCAGTCTCTATCAAAAGTTAAAAACAAAAAAGTTGGGCATGGTGATGTGCACCTGTTGTCCTAGCTATTTGGGAGGCCAAGGTGGAAGGATTGCTTGAACTTGGGAGGTTGAATCTGCAGTGAGCAGTGATTGCACCACTGCACCCCAGCCTGGGCAACAAAGCAAGATCCTATCTCAAAAAATATATATAATACAAATAAAAATGAGCTCTCATTGATTTCTACATAAATATGCACAGGTGATGTCCATGTAGACATAAATAATAATATATCTGACAATGGGTCCATATGATCTTCAAAATGTAAAATGCCTATCTGTGTAACTGACTGGTTAGTTTCATTAATGAATGTAGATTCACTTCTGCTTTCTTGTTCTAGATAAATTATATAATCTAGCTTTTCGTTTCACTTATTTACTGATAACAACAGGAAGAATGACAAGATATCTATTCTGGAAAATTACTCTGGTAGGAGTAAAGATGAAACAATGATAGAATTGCATGGAAAACTAGAAAAAAATTATGGTCTTCCGATATTCTATCACATCATATACAAAAGGCCTCATAAGACTCAGATATTTTATCTAAAAATGTTATTTTCATCTTAGGAATGATCAAAGCATGAGACTACAATTGTATTACAATGACTCTCACAAGCACATGTGCTAAGAAGGAGGGGAAAACATCATTACTGATATTTTAAACGTATGTTTTACTTTCCATCAACATGAGCCTCAACTTGATATGATGCAGATTGAAGGAAATCACCCATATTTCCATATGAAGAAGGCCTGTGATATTTTATGGGAAAATAAATAGAGAAAATGCTAATAGAAACCCTATTAAGCATTAAGCTTTATGAAGCAAAGACAAATCCCGTGATGAAAGATACACACTCAAGTTCTGCTTGTTGTCTTGGAACAATACGGTTTAGAGGTGACTGGTGGGTGAGGAGAACATATGCAAGTTCACCAAACAGAAAAGCTGAATGAGGCAATGCCTCTTCCTGACCATATCTCTTACTCAGATACCTATGTAATTTATTGTCCACTAAAGGATATATTTAAAAATCATATTAAAAGTCATGCAATGAAGTTGTCCAGGGAAATCAAGACTTAACAGTCTCACTCTGACAATAATGAATAGGGGGATTCCCTCAAGACAGACTAGGACATGAGCCCACACTGGCAGGTAGTAGTACCAGAAAAGAACCCATGGAAAATCTTTACCTTATGCTTGAGATAGGGAACAGGCTAAAGTGACAGCCAGACCTAAAATTTTATCTAAAATATATCCACAATGGAAGAAAATATGTGGTGTACAGGCATAGAATGTCTTTATTGGATCATTGAAATAGTAAGATAAATTCAAATTTTTACATTGTTTTATTTTCCTCCAGTTAGGGCTTGAGGTTTGTCTCTGGAGATTGGCTGTCAATTGGAGCCCTGCCTTTCTGGGGTTCTGGTCAGGGGGTTGTGGATGCTTAACATAAGCCTTTCACAGGACACTTCCTTACCCCAGCAGTGGCCAGGTGTGCATCCCACGACCAGGCCTCCCTCTCACAGAACATCTGTTGAGACTAGGAGATGCCTGATGACTGTTGCCTGACCTGTGCCCTGTGTATTTCTGACAAGAGCCACTCTCAGAGACCCTGGCCAGGAGGAGAGTTAGGTTCCAGTGTAGGTCAGCTCAGGCACATGGAGGTCACAGGACCAAACATGGGAAATCACAGAAGTGGTTTTATTACTCATAGATCCAGAGAGAAGAGGGTAGCTGAGAAGAGGGTTTAGCCGTGTCCCAAGCCAAATCTCATCTTGAATTCCCACATGTTGTGAGAGGGAACAGATTGGAGGTAATTGAATCGTGGGGACAGGTCTTTCCCATGCTTTTCTTCTGATAGTGAATAAGTCTCACAAGATCTGATGGTTTTATAAAGGGGAGTTTCCCTGCACAAGCTCTCTTGTCTTGTCTGCTGCCACGTGAGACATGCCTTTCACCTTGCGCCATGATTGTGAGACCTACCCAGCCATGAGGAACCGTGCGTCTATTAAAACTCTTTCTTCTGGAAATTACCCACTCTTGGGCATGTCTTTACCAGTAGTGTGAAAATGGACTAATACAGTAGCACACTTCATAGGGATGAACAAAATGGGGAAGGCGAGTGGTGAGCAAGAGAGAGAAAAGGGGTCTGTGGGACTCCAGCCTTTATTGGGCCCAGAACATTACCCAAATAAGTTTTCCACGGGGCTCTAGTCAGTGGGGTGAGTGCCAGCAGGCATATTTCTTGGCTCCTGCTGCAACTGAGCAGGTCACTCTGGCGTTTGGGAGCTGTCCATGTGTGCTGTGAGGTCTGTGGGGTGAGTCAGGTAGGTTGTATCCAACGGTTCCATAGCGGGTAGTCACGAGGAGGAGGCAACTGTGTAGGGTCAATATCTGGGCCAGCCACACTGAGGAACTGTGAAGAATTGTCAAGGGAATCTGAACCCAGCTACCATATGAGAGAGTTCAACTTACGTTCAATGTGAATGCCATGGCAATATTAAAAGGTAAGAATTGGCTCCATACGTGCTTGAGGTAAATAGGAGAAACCTAGAATTTATGCAAACAGTAAGAAGTTTAGATGCGTTTTCTGTCACATATTTTAATACTAGCAGCATATTATATATGTCAATCCATCAGGCATTCAGAAGTACATGCTCATGAAAATTTTTTGCACCATCAGACAAAAGACAAGGGTAGAAAACAATTTTAACCCTGTAAACACTAGTAAATTAAAAACAGAAGGGCCTTTATGTCCTAATATATCTATGTTGTGAAAGGCTGCCCTGTGAAATACGGGATTTCTTAAACATATTTTAAAAATCATAGGTGTCAATATTTTTTAGAAATCCATTTAAATTTTCTCTTGCTACTTTACAATGCCTATTTATTTATTAAGTGGTTTTGCTGATTTTGATGTATATCCTAAACTTTACATTTTCTTTAAAGTATGTTTTATACTACTTTATGTAAAATGTTTCAGTATCTTCACATTCTCTCCCTGTCCTTTTGTTTTGCTCTTATATGGTTGCCTTGAGTCTTTTCTCTGGCTTTTCAAACCTAGTAAGACTAAGACACTAAAATAACTTTGCCCGTGGTTTGGTAATGCCTTCTAAAGCACGTCCTAAGCTCTCGTGCATACAGGGGTCTCCTTTGAGCTCTATGCTTTTGAGATCCCATATACCTAAATTCCAGTACTCCAAATCAGTACTGCTCAGTTTTAGTTACTAAGTTTAAAAATGTATTTTAATAACAAGTTAGTTTAGTGCACTCTTACTTCTTTCTTTGCTGCTGGTATACGTGTATATTCCCTTAAATGAATCTTGGAATTTATTTAAAAATTTTAAATTATACTAACGAAACTGTATATTGTTGTGGATTCATAGGTGATTTTGGAAAGAATTTGTCTTTATGATACTAAATCCTTTTTATCCAAGAGTCATATGGGCCTTTATATTTATTCCAGTCTATATTTACATCACTGAGTAAATATATAGAAATGTAGATACATACAGCTGTAGTCATAGATAGATACAAATATAGATATAACATGTTAAATCTATATCTATCCCATATAACATGTATACATGTTATATGTGTGTGTATATATATATATATGTTTGTGTTATTAAAGAGCTCCCTTAAAATTTTTCTTTTATTTCCTACATAATTTTAGGTTGAGCTTGAATTTTCCTTGTATAAACAAGCAAATATTTATACTGGTTTTAATACTGAGGTTTAGACATTCTATCTTATTTTAGCATTGAATATTTTCACAATTATTATATTATCTAATAATAATGTAACTGTTAAAAATATTTAAAATTTTACCTTTGAATTATTTTATTGTTGAATTTAAATTCCTTTAAGTATGATAGTAAATTTCTATTTTATGATTTCTCTATGAATATGCAAATTAATCTATCCATTTCTCTATCTCTATGTAGTAACATATGAAAATCAAGCCTCTCTTCTTCTAATAGACATATACACGTTTGCATATAGAATATCAGACTCTTTATAGCATTTAAAATCTTTAAAGACATGAATATTACCTTTTAACAAATATATTTTAGCATGTACTGAGAATCCCCTATTTATTGTTTATTTGGAGTAATCAATATGATTATTAATATTATTGGATCACCACGTTTGGAGTCACACTTTCATCCCCAAGGTGGATATTTGTTTTCTTTGTTTTTTTTTGCCAATTTCTTGTCTTACTGTTTCAAATATTGTTGGATATTATTTTTATTTTATTTGGCATTTTAGTATCAATATTTGTAAGTGATGTACTCTACATATTTTTTCTTCAATATCTGGTGGGTTTTATAATTACTGCTATATTGGATTTGTAGTAGACACTGACAAAAATTATTTCTGTATGTTTTATAGCTGTATGAAGGAATCCAATATATTTTACCCCAAAATATATTTCCGTGATATATATCAAAATGGCTATTCAGAAGGGCTGGAAATGCAAACTTAGCTGCAAAACTGTCTTGGGGAGATTTGCATCTGTAGAGAATCTACTTTGATGCAGCCAGGCTTTCTCTGAGGTCTGCTAATTTGTCTGGATCTAGGAAAGGTTAACTGAGCGTCTGAGGTCTCCAAAGGTCTGAAAGAAACATTTTCTCTCTATTCTCTCTGAGGACTGCTCCCAGTGAGGTTTCACCTACGTAATAAGTCCACTGTTGCTAGTCAGGGTCCTTTTCTCACATAATCTTTTTCTTTTTCCCTGTGATCCAAGACCCCATTCTTTCTGTAAACTTCGTGTGGTAGACAAGCTTCTGCACCCATCTTGTGTGTGGGTCTTCATTCTAAGGGCTACAGTGTACACACATTGCAGAAACCTGTATGCCTTTTCTACTATTTATCTGCCTCCTATTAGTGATTTTCAGGGAAACTTCAGAAGGCAAAAGGGACATTCTCCTTTAGCCTATACTCAGACAAAATACCCCAACATTTAACTGATTCCTAATAGCTTAAAATCACTTTGAAAAATCCATATATTTATAACCTTTTCTTCCCTCTATGATTTCTGGTCAGTTTGGGTTTTGTTTTTTATACCATTTATTTCATCCTCGAAAAGATCTATTTTATGTCTATTTATTCTCATTTATTGACATTGAGAAAAGAAAATAACTTTCACGTGAGAAACGCAAGTCCTTTGAAATAATCAGGCCCAGAGAGTTATTCAAATGAGACAGCAGTTCTGTCCTGCTCCTCTTTGAGCTGTGTGTTCATCTAGGCTGCTTGCTGTTGCCACAGTAGCTATAAATTAACCAATAATGCCACACCAGACACTACAATCCACACCCAATAATAGTGTAACAGTGTATATCCAGTCACTAATAAATGTGAGTTCCATAAGCCAATGAGAATTTGTGACAAACCTCTTTGCATCATCCCATTTCTGGACCCTTTTTTGCCTTTAAGAAACTGCTTGTTGCAAAGCTCCGAAGGGAGTTCATATCCAAGGATACTTGGGTCTGTTTCTTCCAGGCAGCTGTCCTCATTGTGGCTCAAGTATACTATTTGAATTACGTTTTGTGCTTCAGCCCCTTCCACTTAGATTAACAACATGGATTTGTGTCACCATGTACAGCAATTAAAATGTTTACACTTTTCCCCTCGAGGGCACTGATGTGTTTTCCTGAGCACTTGGAATAGCTACATAGTGTTTACTTTCTATATTATGGTTTCTCAACCTTGGTGTACTTTCCTTTAGGACCAGAGGATTCTTTGTTGTGGGAGGCTGCCCTAGCAATGCTAGGTGATTCGTTTGACCTCTAAATTTCACACCTCCACCAGTCTTGACATCCCCACAAAAACCCTAGATATTGACAAATGTCTCCTGGGGAAAACTCTCCACCGGTTGACAGCTCAAAGTTCTTGAAATATTGGAATTGTCAATTGAGTTTTTATGTTATCCAAAACAAATATTTTTCTTTGTTTTTAAACATCTACTTCCATCTACTTATCTACTTATTTTTACTTTTATTTGTAACTTAATTCCATCAAGGAGAGAGAGTGCATTTTCTGTTATGCTAAATTTTTGAAGAGTGCATTGATTTTTTATGACCTGATATATGGATGATATGTAGATATTACATGTTTGTATTATCAAATTTCAGGGCGATAATAAAATAAATATTTATAATATTTATATTGTCACTTTATATTAGTTATTTTCTTTCTTCACTACAGGAGTTTTTCAACCTGTAGGCTATTTTTCAATTCTAGGTTATCCAGTAGATTTTGAAATGTTAAGATTAAATATCTACTTCTCAAGCATTCATCTTTGCAAATGAATCAATCCCAAGCTCTTATAATGCACATCATATAAAGGACAGATTAGTCAATATATGGTTCAGAAATAGTTATGTAACATATATAAGAAAATTAAAAATTTAGATCCTTAACTCAGATAACAATAATCCAAATTAAAATTTGATTTCATTACATAATTTAAAATGACACCAGAATACTAGTAAAAATGTAGATAAGTTTATATAATCCTTTTTAGCTGTAGGACTTTATTATCATAAATTCAAATACAGGAGCCAAAGTAAGATCGAGACCTATAGTCAAGGGTTAAAGTGTACACATTATAGGGGCATGATTAATCTAACTTAAAGCATAACATGGAGAAATATTGCAAAACATACATGTTACTGAATTGTTAATATGTAATCATTAAGTGACAGCAAAGGTAAAGAGTAGCTACACACACACACACACACAAAGTGCAATATTGTCAAATATATGTGATGTTCAGCTACACTAGAAATCACACCTGTGTTTTCTCCACAGAAGTTTAAAGATTAAAAATCACAATAATATTTATTGTACATATGGAGGTAAAGATACTCAAAATATTACCCTAAAATACTTTTATTTTTGAGATGGAGTTTTGCTTTTATTGCCCAGGCTGGAGTGCAATGGCACAATCTTGGCTCACTGCAACCTCAGCCTCCCAGGGTCAAGTAATTCTCCTAGCTCAGCCTCTCAAGTAGCTGAGATTACAGGCATGCGCCACCACACTCGGCTAATATTTTGTATTTAGTAGAGATGGCGTTTCACCATGTTGGTCAGGCTGGTCTCCAACCCCTGACTTCAGGTGATCTACCCACTTCAGCCTCACAAAATGCTGGGATTACAGGCGTGCGCCTGGCCTTTTTGACATATTTCAAGATGGCTACTCGGAAGACTGGAAATAGCTTCTTCTACAAGAATAGCTGAAAAGTTGTGTTTGTTGGGGAGATTTGCATTTGTAGAGAAAATCTGCATTGATATAGACAGGCTTTCCCTGAGATACTCCCTTGTCTGTGTTTAGGAAAGATTAACTGAGTCTGGCACGTTTACATTTCTAAAAAGCATTTCTTATCTATACTTCCCAAGAGGAGGGCTGCTCCCTGTGAGGTTTCATCCGTGTAACAAGACTACCTCTGCTGCCAGGCTCCTCTGTCTTCCTTGTTGTCACTTGTCTTCCGCAAAGACTGATTGACCAACCTACAGGTCTGTTTTCTGTAACCTCAAGACAGCATAGGCGTGTTGACTACCTTGCCATTCCTGGAGTTTTTATATATATAGTATATATTTGTATATCTATTTATAATATACAAATATTTGTATATATATTTATATATATATTATGTAAACTCCAAGTGCATACTTGTGCACATATCTGTAAACCTTTTTTTCCTGTTGATTTGAACATTATCAGTTTATTTTATAGACTGAAATAATTAAAGCTTCAAGGGAAAAATTTAAACTTTCCTATAGAGAAAAGACAAATATATAGGTGACAAATAATATTTAGAGTGTAAGACGCTTTTTAAAGGTATATTTGCAATTTGTTTCAAAACATTTAAATATACATTTGTTACTTTAACTATAAAATTTCAAATAATTTAAGCTAAATACATAGTATATGCAGAAAATTTAGCAATATTTGTATGTAGTACCTTACTGTGCATTACTGTAACCAGCTGTCTAATATAAAGAACTAATTAAGGTAACAACTACTTTTCAAATATCTCATTTTTTCACAGACCTATTAAATAAGACAAATAACATATAAACTTTGTTTTTAAATTTACAGAATAGTAGTTTTCAGAAGATGGTTTATTTTAGCAAATTCCATCTTCACATTGTGCTATGCTTTTATGAGTACCAGCTGTTAAAGGATGATATTTTACTGCTGAATCTATCATGTGTGATATAATTGCTCATTATGTGCCTTAAAACACAAGCAATATAGTTATTTTCAATTTGCAGCAAATTAAAATCTTATCAGCCATTTAAAAACTCTAGAGTTGTCTTCTTCTGGTTAATTATTTTAAACATGTATTTTTCTCTCTATGTTTTTAGTGCGTTGTCTTATCAAGGAGAAGAACTCAAGCTGATTATTCTTTTTTTTCTTTCCCATCCACCTCGCAGGTGTGTTAATAATTACATTTCTCAGAAAATGTTCTTTCATATCCATCTTACAAGATGAGAGAGCTTTTAAAATCTTCCATTCGGATGTGATAGGAGTAATGCAAAATATTCCAGCTTCATGAATATGGTGATACAAATAGTTATCCGTCTAACCTCTTTCAGTGCCAAATGTATACTTTAGTCAGTGAATTACTCAGTTGACTGGTAATTTCTTCTGAAATCACAAATGAGAGGATCAGAGGTCTGGCTCTTGTCTGTACCACATATGACTCCCAGTGCAGACAATTGTTTCTATGGAGCACAGACAGTTGAAAGGATTGACTTCCTGCCTAGAATAGTTTCTCTTGTGCTTCTTATCCTTCTTGTGGAGATTTCAGATTATCTGAATTGCTTTTCTATCTTAAGAAAAAACTCAACAATTCTGCCACCTGAGAGGAATGGAAACTGTAGTAAGTTAGCAGAACCTATCCGTAAAGTTTTACATTGTTTTTTGCAAAATGCAGCTTCGGTGTCTCCATCACTAACCTTTTCTATCCCTCATTGCTCTTTCTTTGACTGCAATAGGATACCTCTAGGCACATCTGTATTCCCGAGACAGAGTGCCGTTTTGGTTAGCTATAAGTACACTCAATGGTAGGCGGAAATACTAGCTTTTATCTACGGCGAAATTCCATTCCACTACACTCCATTCCACTCCACTCCACTCCACGCTATTCAATTCCATTCCACCCCATTCCATTCCACTTCATTCCACTCCACTGCACTCCACTTCACTGCATTCCGTTCCATTCCACTTCACTCCATTCTACTCCACTCCACTCCATTCCACTCCATTCCATTCCACTCCAATCCACTCCATTCCACTGCACTTCACTCCATTCCACTCCACTCCATTCCACTCCATTCCATTCCATTCCATTCCATTCCATTCCATTCCATTCCATTCCATTCCATTCCATTCCACTCCATTCCATTCCATTCCATTCCATTCCACTCCATTCCATTCCATTCCATTCCATTCCATTCCACTCCATTCCATTCCATTCCATTCCATTCCACTCCACTCAATTCCATTCCACTCCATTCCACTCTACTCCAATCCACTCCACTCCACTACATTGCATTCCATTACATTACATTCCATAATACATCCACTCCATTCCCTTCCTTTCTTTCGACAGGATTTCACTCTGTCACCCAGGCTGGAGTGCAGTGCAAAATCTCAGCTCACATTTCTTTTCACCATTCCATTCCATGCCATTGCATTCCATTCCATTCCACTCCACTCTGTACAATTCCATTCCTCCCCATTACATTCCACTCCACTAACTTCCACTCCACTCCACTCCACTCCAATCACTTCCATTCTACCCCATTCCATTCCACTTCATTCCACTCCATTCCACTCCACTTCACCGCATTCCAATTGATTCCATTCGATACCATTCCATTCCATTCCATTTGATTTCATTTGATTCAATTACATTCCATTTCACTCCATTCCATTCCACTCCATTCCACTCCACTCCACTCCACTTCATTCCACTCCACTCCATTCCACTCCATTCCACTGCACTCCAATCCACTCCACTCAACTCCAATCCACTCCACTCAACTCCAATCCACTCCACTCCATTCCATTCCACTCCATTCTACACCTTTCCTCTCCACTCCATTCCATTCCATCCCATTCCATTCCACTCCATTCCAGTCCACTCCATTCCACCCCACTCCAATACACTCCACTCCATTACATTCTGTTCCATAACAATCCATAACACTCCATTCCACTGCACTCCACTCCACTCCATGCCACTCCACTCCACTCCATTCCATTACATTCCATTCTAAATCCATTCCATTCCAATCCTTTCTTTCAACAGGATCTCATTCTATCAACCAGGCTGCACTGCACTGCACAATCTCAGCTCACATTTCATTTCACCATTCCATTCCATTCCATTGCATTCTATTCCATTCCAATGCATTCCATTCCATTCCACTCCACTCCACTCCACTCCATTCCATTCCATTCCATTCCATTCCATTCCATTCCATTCCATTCCATTCCACTCCATTCCACTCCATTCCACTCCATTCCATTCCATTCCATTCCACTCCATTCCATTCCATTCCATTCCATTCCACTCCACTCCACTCCATTCCATTCCATTCCATTCCATTCCATTCCATTCCATTCCATTCCATTCCATTCCATTCCATTCCACTCCATTCCATTCCATTCCATACACTCCATTCCACTCCACTCCATTTCATTCCCTTCTATTCCATTCCATTCCACTCCATTTCCATTCCATTCCATTCCATTCCATTCCATTCCACTCAATTCCACTCCATTCCATTCCATTCCATTCCGTTCCACTCCATTCCATTCCATTCCATTCCATTCCACCCCACTCCATTTCACTTCTTTTCACTCCATTCCTTTCCCTTCCACTCCTTTCCATTCCACTCCACTCCGTTCCACTCCACTCCACGCCACTCCACTCCAGTCTACTCCATTCCATTACGTTCCATTCTAAATCCATTCCATTATATTGCATTCTAAATCCATTCCATTCCCTTCCTTTCTTTCGACAGGATCTCACTCTTTCTCCCAGGCTAGAGTGCAGTGCGCAATCTCAGCTCACATTTCATTGCACCATTCAGTTCTATTCCATTCCATTGCATTTCATTCCACTCCACTCTGTTCAATTCCATTCCTTCCCATTCCATTCCATTCCACTCCACTCCACTCCACGCTAATCCACTCCACTCCACTCCATTACATTACATTCTATTTTAAATCCATTCAATTCCATTCCTTTCTTTGGACAGGATCACACTACATCACCCAGGCTGCATTGCACTGCAGAATCTCAGCTCATATTTCATTTCACCATTCCATTCCGTTGCATTCCATTCCACTCCACTCCACTGCACTCCATTTGATTCCATTCCTTCCCATTCCGTTCCATGTGATTCCATTCCACTCCACTCCAGTCCCTTGAATTCCATTCCACCCCATTCCATTCCACTCCATTCCACTCCACTCCATTCCAGTTCTCTGTATTCCATTTGATTCCATTCGATATCATTCGATTCCATTTGATTCGATTCCATTCAATTCCATTCGATTCCATTTTTTCCATTTGATTCCATTCGATTCCATTCGATTCCATTTGATTCTATTCCATTCGATTTCATTCTATTCCATTCGATTCGTTTCCATTCCATTCCACTCCACTCCACTCCATTCCCCTCCACTCCATTCCACCCCATTCCATTCCACTGCATTCCATTCCATTCCATTTCATTCCATTCCATTCTAAATCCATTCCATTCCATTCTTTTCTTTCGACAGGATCTCACTCTCTCACCCAGGCTGGAGGGCAGTGCACAATCTCAGCTAACATTTCATTTCACCATTCCATGCCATTCCACTCCATTGCATTCGATTCCATTCCATTCCACTCCATTGCATTCCATTCCATTCCACTCCACTCCACTCCACTCCATTCCACTCCACTCCATTCCATTCCAGTCCACTCCATTCCATTCCATTCCACTCCACTCCACTCCATTTCATTCGAATCCACTCCACTCCATTCCACTCCATTCCAGTAAACTCCACTCCACTCCCCTCCATTCCACTCCATGCCATTCCACTCCATTCCATTCCACCCCACTCAATTCCACTCCACTCCACTACATTCCATTCCATTCTACACCTTTCCACTCCACTCCACTCCATTCCATTACATCACATTCCATTCCACTCCATTCAACTCCACTCCACTCCACCCCACAGTACTCCACTCCACTCCATTGAATTCCATTCCATAACAATCCATAGCATTCCGTTCCACTCCACTCCAATCCACTCCACGACACTCCACTCCACTCCATTCCATTACATTCCATTGTAAATCCATTCCATTCCTTTCCATTCTTATGACAGGATC
>NT_187391.1:0-57835 GCF_000001405.40 Homo sapiens
GGATGGAGTGCAGTGGAGTGGAGTGGAATGGAATGGAGTGTAATGGAATGTATTGGAATGGAGTTGGGTGCAGTGGAGTGGAATGGAATGGAATGGAATGGAATCGAGTGGAATGAAATGGAGTGCAATGGAGTGGAAAGGAATGGAGTGGAATGGGATGTTATGGAGAGGAGCGGAATGGAATGGAGGGGAATGGAATGGAGTGGAACAGAATGGAGGGGAATGGAATGGAGTGGAATGGAGTGGAGTGGAGTGGAATGGAATGGAGTGTAATGGAATCTATTGTAATGGAATGGAGTGGGGTGGAGTGTAGTGGAATGGAATGGAATGGAATGGAATGGAATCGAATGGAATGAAATGGAGTGCAATGGAGTGGAAAGGAATGGAGTGGAATGGGATGGTATGGAGAGGAGTGGAATGGAATGCAGGGTAATGGAATGGAGTGGAATGGCGTGGAAGGGAATGGAATGGAGTGGAATGGAATGGAGTTGAGTGGAATGGAATGGAGTGAAATGGAGTGGAGTGGAGTGGAATGGAATGGGGTGGAATGGAATGGGATGGAATGGGATAGAAAGGAGTGAAGTGGAGTGGAGTAGAATGGAGTGGAGTGAAATGGAATGGGTAGAAATGGATATGAATGGAGTGGAGTTTAGTGGAGTTGAGTGGAATGGAATGCATTGGAACGGAAAGGAATGGAATGGAATGGAATCGTTAAATGAAATGTGAGCTGACATTGTGCACTGCACTCCTGCTTGGCAGAGAGAGTGAGATCCTGTCGAAAGAAAGGAGTAGAATGGAATGAATTTAGAATGGAATGGAATGAAACAGAGTGGAGTGGAGTGGAGTGGCGTGGAGTGAAGTTGAGTGCTGTGGAATGGAGTGGTTTGGGTTCTGGTGGAATGGAATGGAGTGCAATTAAGTGGAATGTAGTGGCTTGGATTGTGTTGGGATGGAATGAAATTGAGTGGAATGGAATGGAATGAAGTGGAATGGAATCGAACGGAAGGGAAAGTAATGGAATGGAATGGCATGGAATGGAGCGGAAAGGAGTTTAATGGAGTGGAGAGGAATGGAGTGGAACGGAATGCCATGGAGTGGAAAGGAATGGAGTGGAGTGGAGCGGAGTAGAGTGGAGTGGAATGGAATGGGCAGAGTGGAATGGAGTGGAAAGGAGTGGAGTGGAATGGAATGGAGTGGAGTGGAGTGTAATATAATGCAGTGGAATGGTTTGGAATGGAACAGAGTGGAGTGGAATGGAATTTAGTTGAGTGGAATGCAATGGATTGTAATGGCATGGATTTCAACGGAATGTAATGTAATGGAGTGGAGTGGAGCGGAATGGAGTGGAGTGGAATGGAATGGAGTGGAGTGGAAAGTAATGGAATGTAATGGATTGGAATTGAAGGGAGTGGAGTGTAATGGAGTAGAATTGAATGGAGTTGAGTGGAAGGAAATGGAGTGGAATGGAATGGAGTGGAATGGAGTCAAATGGGTGCAGTGCAAACTAAAGGAGCAGAATGGAATGAGTAGAAAAGAGTGGAGTGGAATGGAATGGAATTCAATGGAATGGAGTGGAATGGAATGGAGTGGACTGGAGTGGAATGGAGTTTAGTGAAGTGGAGTGGAATGCAATAGAATGAAATGAAATGGAGTTATGTGGAGTGGAATGGAGTTTATCTGAATTGAGTGTTGTGGAATGGAGTGGATTGGAATGGAATGGAGTGGAGTGGAGTGGAATGGAGTGGAGCGGAATGAAATGGAGTGGTGCAGAATGCAATGGAGTGTAGTGGATGGGAGTGGAATGGATTGGATGGGAATGGAATGGAGTGGAGTGGAATTGAGTGGATTTGAGTGGAATGGAGTGGAGTGGAGTCGAGTGGAATGGAGTGGAATGGAATGGAATGGAGTGGAATGGAATATAGTGGAGTGGAATGGAATGTATTGGAATGGAATGGAGTCGAGTGGAGTGGCCTGGTGTGGAATGGGATGGAATCTATTGGATTTGAGTGGAATGGACTGGAGTAGAATGGAATGGACTGGAGTGGAATGGAATGGAGTTGAATGGAATGGAATGGAGTGGAATGGAATGAGTGGAATGGAAAAGAATGGAATTGAGTGGAATGGAATGGAGTGGAATGCAATGGATTGGAATGGAATGGAGTGCAGTGGAATGGACTGGAGTGGAATGGAATGGAATGGAATGGAATCCAGTGGAATGGAGTGTAGTGGAATGGAATGTTGTGGAATGGAATGGAGTGGAATGTAATGGAGTGGAATGGAATGGATTGGAGTGCAGTGGAATGGAATGGAGTGGAATGTAATGGAATGGATTAGATTCGAGTGGAGTCGAGTAGAGTGGAGTGGAGTTGAGTGGACTGGATTGCAATGGAATGGAATGCAATGGATTGGAATGAAGTGGAGCAGAGTGGAGTGGAGTGGAGTGGATTACTTACAGTTATTATCCAGACAGTGGCTGTTTTTCATTTATTATCCAGATTCACCTCCGTGAGAACCATTACGAAAGAGGCTGAAATTTCAGCTAGTAGTTCACAGGTTGAATTTGAATAACTTTACCATAAAGAGAAATATTAACTTCGGGATTGGATTATGCTGTTAATCTGACTGCTCTTAGGAGTCCTTAAAAATAAATCAATATTATATATGGCCTGCCTTTATAGATATTTTTTGCATTTATACCTACCTGGGCCTAGCATCAATTAAAACGAAGGACAGAGTCTCCTAGAAACAGGGGCCAATTTTACCATAAGTGACTATTTTTTTCTGAATTTTTTTGGACTCTCAGATTGCTAGTAACCACAGGCAACTTATGTGAGTTTGAGCAATAGTTGTTTTAAGGACAGAGGCACTTTATGAAACCCAAGAACATAAATGCAGCTGGACCTCAGGAGAGGTCTGCAGCTAGGAGGGGAAAAGTTGTCAGGAGCCTTGGTAGGGCCTTCTCTCTATCTCTTACTGCTACTTCTCTCTGATTGTTGCTTATATTATTTCCCCTCTACAGAATATGCAACTGCAGGTAGAAGATCCCCCTTTTCCAACCACCCCCCAACACATACGCACACCCTGCTCCAGATGACTAAAGTTTGCCTTATCTTCATATAAGGAAACAGCCTGAATTAATTGGAAGTTTTTCAATCCAAATTCCAAATCCTAAAAGAGATGATCTGATGGACCTGATTGGCTCAGTATGGTCAAGGGTTTATCCCTGGTTCAACCAACTGCAGCGGGGGAGGTAGGGTCCTCTGTTCCAGAGTAGGCTATTGAGCAAGAATTCTTCATTGCACACCTCCAGGGGCACTACTCATATTTTGTTGTGTGTGCATGATACCCAGTGGAGTTGTGCAATGGGAAGTCCTACTGTTGTCTGGAGATAGTTCTCAGGTAAAGGGGACTATTGTCACCTATAGTCAAAAGGCGTTTACTGTATCTAATTGTAGTTGCTAGAAAGGCAACCCTTTCCTCCATACAACTCCCTCCCACTTAACAGACCTTAGCAGCCATGTTTCCTCTACTTAGGGCCTGAAATTCTGCCAACCTGTGAGACCTAAATGACCTGTCTCCTTCTTTACAGTTCTGTATCTTTGTGTCTGAGATGAGCATCTAGTGACAGAAGAGACAGTGGATCTTCCATGTTTCCCTTCCTGAAGCCACTCTGATGACTTTCAAGGCATCTGTGTGAGACTTCTTCCCTCTTCCTCTTCATTTAGAGAGAAGCATTCCAAGTGAGTGATCTACTGAGGGGCTGTCTTCTAGAATTTCAGGATTTTCTTACCTCCATCACCATAAGCAGCCCCAAACTCAGCCTCCACTGAGAAGAGACAGTTTTCACTGCAAAAATAAGCCACATGTGGCCTCTCCAAAACACACAGCTCTGCTGGATGTTAACAAGCATTACACACTTTCAATTTATTTTCTTTGTTTCAGAACTTTTTTATGCAGGTTTATGAACAGTAGATGTGGAGATCAATTTAGCCCTAATTCTGCCTTATTTTACTTGGCCATTCTGGGGACCAAGTCTTGACTCAAGTGGCTACAGTTAAGATAGCAAATCTTTGAAAAGCTGAGCTGCTTTTGTTTGGTGCTTGGCATCTGGTGCATGTAGAATGGCTTGGATCTGATATTTCCTTTCCCTCCAAAGTAAGAACACATCTCTTGAAAAGGTTTGATACAGTCCTGCCAAAGAAGGAACCAGGAAACTCAAGCCAGCTTGGAGTTTCATGAGCCATGGAAAACTGGCTAAATTCACCATGAAAATAATTTGGAAACATGAAGAGAGTACAGAGCAGCCTCTTTCTAGCCCAGTTTTTCATTCTAGTCTCAGGAATACTATGATTAATGCATATTTGCTGAAATATGACAATTTAAATGTTATTAATTCATAAGACCCTAGATCAGAATTGTGATCATCTGAACAAATATCATGAAGTTGAACTTTGAAAAATAATGTTTGTAGTGGAATTAATGATACAAACAAATGGCCTGAGACTGAACTCTTAAGTGATCAACAAGTTAACTTGCATATGAATGTGCACATTATAAATGATGCTGTGCTTATGTAAACTAAGTCTAAAGTGTCAAAAAAGCAATTACATTTAGAGCATTCCATAATATAGAATTTCATTAATTTGAACAGTTGTCCCATCCCCTAGTCTGAATTAGTGAGGCTTACTTGTACATAAAATAAAGGGAAGAAGTTTTAGTCTCAGCCTCCAAATCCAGTTCACTCTGGTGCTTTCAAGCCCCTGAAAGTTTCCACATGTGCACAAGTAGCCGACCTTCACAAAACTCAAAACTGTTAGTTTAGATTCAGTGAATCAGCTATGGTTCTTAGTTCCCTTCAGTCAGTCCTACATTCTTCCCGCTTTCCAAAGTTTCTTTTATTTTTCTATTACATGTATTTTAAACGGGTTTCTCTGTTTGTTTGATTTTCTGTTTTTAAAGGTTACATTTGGAAAGTCTCATACACAAACATTAATAAAGGTGATAGAGAAAAGATTTAATGGCATGCAACATGAGAGTGTTAATTAGCATGAGAATGCTTGCTATGTGCCAAGAAAGCTGTGTTCAATGCCAGTGATAAAAAGATGAATATGGTCCCAGAAAAAACACACATGAGATTGTAGAAGATTGTAATGAAACAAACAAAAAAGAAAGCAAGATTTTAGTACTGGGGAGCATGAAGATGGAAGTCGAGGAAGGTTCAGTGAGGAAGTAACAATTGAGCTGTGTCCTCAAGATTGAGTAGGAGTTGTTTAGGGTGGGAGGATCAGAAAGGTAGTCTCATTAAGGAGTACCAAAATCTTGGTGTATCGGAGGCTCATCAAGGGACTCAGAGCTTGGAGCAGAAGTTGCCAGGAGAAATGGCAGATGTGGCTTTCCATGGAGGAGGGCCTTCTATGCCATTGTAAGGAATTAGGGTTTTATCTTGAAGCCAGTGGTTTGTAGGTTTCATTGTTTGGTTTTGATCAACATGCTTCCTTTTCAATGAAAAATTCAAGCCTTCAAGTGTAAAAGAGATGGATGCAGAGCAGATTCTTAGAAGTTGAAAGACGGAGCCTGGGATTCAATCTTCTCAGCCCCTCAGGCTCCCCACAGAAGGCCATCTGAAAGCCAAACTAGAAGGAAATGGGGCCATACTGTGAGCATAGAAGTGGTCCAGTGCTGTGTGTTTCTGTTTCTGAAAGGTCAACCTGTCAGCACTGTGGAGTTGGGAACAAAGACAGACAGGAAACAGGGAGACCCACTGGGGCCTGATGTTAGGGCCTGAAGAAAGCATCTCACCATGGACACGGGCAGGAGGTGCTTCTAAAGGGAAGCATACATTGGAGTTGATCCCAAGTTTTCTTCCAGATGGTGGGAGGAAGGCAGTGAGTGATATGGTAGCTTCCAAATTCGTTTAACAACAAGAATGTGGCTATTAGATTCTGAGTAGTTTCATTCTAATACAAGACTCTGCAACCAAGTTTGAAATGTGCTGAATTCTCATGAAGAAAGGAGATGCCATGATTAGAGAAGTCATTTTTAAGATCTTTCCTGTTTTGGGATTTGGGAAGTTTTCTCAGAGGCAAGTTTGATACTGAATGAGACCTAACAGTTGTTTTAAATATATCCCTCGACCCTCGGTTTCATTCCTGATGTTTAATCAGTAATTAGTGGGAGACAAAACTCTACTACTGTCAACCAAATTTGAACTACCTCTTTTGCTGCAAATGTTTCTTGAGGCATACATAAAAATTATAAATTACCATCCTTTAAAAAAATCTGAAAAACTTCAAAATACAGCCTATTACATAGAAGATGTGTTGGCAGTTTGGGTCTTACAGCCTCCAAAATAAAGATCTCTGATGGAAAACATTACTTAATTTTGTCGGTGAACTCTTGGAATTCATATTTGCAAGGGAGTAAGATGATTTGATTTCCAGAAACAAGGGTGTGGCTACTCTTGTCTCCCACTTCTCATGAAGTTCACCCTTTGCGTTAGACCAAGAAAAATGGGAGCATGAAGCAGCTTTGTTTCTTCCTTAGAAGGAGCAAGTTTGAAGCCATAAAGACTCTATTTTCGCACTCAGGAACTAACCGCTAGCTGTTTTCTAGCTAGCTGGAGTGAGCACCAGCACTGGGGTATCTTAGCATGAACAAGAATGCTATTTTGGTCTGTTGTAAAGCATTGTGGAATGCAGATTTTAGATCATTTCATCACATCTACCAGCAACCACAAAACAAACGTTATTTCAGAATGAAGACTATGGATGTAGAAATACTAAGAGCTAAATAAAAGAAGATTATAGAGACATTTTTATAGTTTAATGAATATGCTCACTACCAAAGCTTTGCTTTAAAAAAAAACAAATACTTATACGCAGTGTTGGGTGTTTACACAGTTTGATAAAGGCCAGGGGTAGAGGAGGCATTGAAGAATTCCACTGCTTCTCTCATTGAACCAAAGTGAGAGGGGGAGCACAGAACAGTCTATTACGAGTAATACCAAACCATCTTTCTTAAAAAAAAAAAAGTAAAAATAAGGATCCTGTTTATCCAGAAGAACTCACCTAGAGAATTCAGTAATTTCAAGATAATTAGATTTCTTCCAGAGAGCTGAATGCAGGTTTCAGTTTTCTCTGGAGAATATGGCCATTTTCAGAGACAATTAAAATGCTTGTAAGTGTGGCAACACAGTCCCTGGAGAGGAAGGGGGCTTCATAACATGACCCAAGTGGCAGCTGATGCTGCTCCTCTGACCCAGAATACCCTGTGTGTGTGCAGACACTTAATGTTTGTGTCTTTCTCTGGACTATGAGTAGGAAATTTTAGTCAAGACTCTCTAGAGTACTTTCTATTCATGAAATTAAGTGCTTGAAGTATTCTATGATTTATACTAGGCATTAAACTTTACTTCCATTCACAGTCCCATTAGTTTTAATGAGTTAAGGACTTTGCTTTACTCATTTGTTTAAAGTAAACAAATAGAAATACTCCAATGGCAAAGGATGTTGGACTAAATTCCCCTGGTCCTGGTGTATTCCTCCCATCTGGTACCCTCCTGCCTGAAATATCATGATTGAAGATTTATTCCTTTAGCTTAAATATTGTCGTCTCTCTTTTAATTTTAATCTAAATCTGCATTAATTTTAATTTGAATCTGGGAGGAAAGGCACATTAAATCCCTTGTGTGAACTAGTTAATCCTTTAAAAAAATAGAAAGTCTGAAAAAAAAAAGAATTGGTAAGGATGTAGAGGAATAGCCACTCCTGTACAGCAACTCCTACTTTTTTAAACAGTTTGGGGCCAGGTGCAGCGGCTCTCACTTGTAATCCCAGTACTTTGGGAGGCCTAGGTGGGAGGATCACTTGAGCCCAGGAGTTTGAGAACAACCTGGGAAACATAGTAAGACCCCATCTCTACAAAAAGAAAAGTAAAGAAAAATTAGCCAGGTGTGATGAAGAACACCTGTAGTCCCTGCTACTCAGGAGGCTGAGGTAGCAGGATCACTGGAGCCCAGGAGTTTAAGGATGCAGTGAGCTCTGGCTGTGCCACTGCACTTCAACCTAGGTGACAGAGTAAGAACTTGTTTCAAAAAAACTGTTTGAGAAATTCCAATTCTAGCCTAGATGGAGTAATAGGGCCTGAAATTACCTGCCTGAAACAACCTAACAAAATTCTGATAAATAATATGAAATTATATTTTTCAAGACAAGGAGCATCACATAACGAAGGACAGAGATCCCTGAGGGCTGAGAAACAAACAAGGTGAGCCTTACAATTATTCTAGCAATTGCCTTGAAAGAGTTTCCAGGTGTATTAGTCAATTTTCACACTACTATAAAGAATACCTGAGACTGGATAATTTATAATAAAAGAGGCTAAATTGACTCAGTTCTGCACGGTTGGGAAGGCCTCAGGAAACTTACAATCATGGCAAAAGGTGAAGGGGAAGCAGGGCAAGACTTACATGGTGGCAGGAGAGAGAGCATGCAGGGAGAAGTGCCAGATACTTATCAAACAACCAGATCTCCTGAGAACCCACTCACTCACGAGAACAGCATGGGGGAAACCACACCCATGATCCAATCGCCTCCCACCAGGTCCCTCCCTCGAAATGTGGGGATTACAATTCAAATTACAATTCAAGATGAGATTTGGGTTGGGGACACCGCCATACTCTATCACCAAGCAACATCACAGGGAGGGGTAGCCCAGGAAGAGCCTAACAGACTACCTGAATTGAGGAGATAGATTTGGTAGTCTGAGGAGACTTGAGCTGATAGGACAGGGTCTTGGAGAGAGAGCTGCATGAGGGAGAACCATGGGGATCTCTAGATGGGCCCTTTCAAGTCGACAGAGTACTGACCAGCACCTGCGTGTGGAAAGACTACTCAAAGCCAGCTGGGGAAAATCTATCTGAAAGGATTAGAAGGAACCTACTCACACTCACACCAGGCTGATAGTAATGCCTACTTCTACCAGCCAGACTGGAAATCTTCACAATTCACAGGATACTGAGTAGATTATTCAGAAGGGTCTTCCCTCCACAATGGGAAATAATTATCTCTAGACTACATTTTTCTGGCCCTGTCTAACAGATCTTTAAAGCAAGACTTGAAAGGATCAAAATTTTTTTAAACAACTCAACTGTGTCCCAGAACAAAGCCCAGGAATATTTATGGGGAATAAAAAAATATCCAGCACCAAGCAAGATAAACTCACAATGTCTGGCATCCAATCAAAGTATACCAGTTATGCAAAGCAGCAGGAAAATACCAGAGGAGGAGAAACACACAACACCTCTTGATGTGAAGAGTGTTGAAGAATTTGATAACATGTTTAAAACCACTGGAAACTCATCAGTGACAACATTGCTAGTAATGTAGAACTTAATATGATACATGATTCATCAGATTATATACCAAAACCCAATTATTTCTTTCCTATGGATTCTAAACTTTGTTTTTCCTTTTATTCAGGGAGGAAAGTGATTTTTGTTCTTGTGGATGATTGCAGAGATGACCACACATCTTGCAGCCCTGTCCCTCTACCCTAATAATGGGGAATCTTCATTTCCATGTTAGATTTGTGGACCCAGCATGGTTTTTATTTTGGATTGCCTTGTTCAGAAGTTGTAATTGTACAAGTATGTTAGGGCCCACCTTGTTGACCCTGGTAGCACGATTTAGGCTTACAACAACTCAAAATGCTATGTTGGGTCTTTGCATTTAAAGACAACAGAAACGAGGCCCCTGTTCTTAGGAGCTCACCATCCTTCTCGGCAACCCTAGCAGGTTCCCTGTTGTTTTAAACTGTACCTGGAATTTTGATATTATTCAGGTATAGTGATACCAAAATATCAGGAGACAATGGCCATTAAAAAGATAGTTTGTAACTTACAGCTCCCAAGAAGGTCATGCCATGTCACAGTGGTCCACACGGGGAAGCACCAGCGTTGGTCAGGAGGCAGAAGGATCCAGGAGAAAACATAGGCAAAACCTTGCTTGTGGTTTTCATGGAAAGAAAACCAGCCAAACTGGAAATCTTCACAATTCACAGGGCCTGGGTAGATTATTCAGAAATCTTACCTCCACAGTGGGGAGTATAATTATCTCTAGACTACATTTCTCTGGCCCTGCCTAACAAATCTTTAAAACAAGACTTTAAAGAATGGAAAGAATGAATGAAGCAAGGTACGCAGCTGAGCAGGCTTAGGGGATTTGAATAATCTCTGCAAGCTCTAGCCTATCTGAGTGGCTCCTTGTTGTGTCGTCCCTGGCCCTGGGATGCTTAAGGCAGAGGAATATTGCCCTCTTGGAATGTAAGAGCCAGGTAAAGGGGCAGGTGTGAGTATAGACTCAGGATTGGTCGGCTTGCACATCAAAGACATGCTCCAAGGCAAATGTTTACTATCTCTAGGAATTTGTTAACCCTGGGAGGTCAGTCTCTCCGTGGTCAGTTGAACCCCAAATGTCAGAGCATCAGAAATACAGAAAATAAGAAAATATAGTCAAAAAGAGTTACTTCACTAATACGAACCTCAGTGAGGTCACCTGTGGATTCAGGCCTGTTTGGGTGCATTTGGTGGATTGCAAGAGGCAGTGTCTCAGAGCAGCTCTGCTTACATGGAAGAGTGAAAGGACCACCTGAGACTAAAAAGGTCGAAAAGTAAAGACAGCTGTGGTCTACCACCTTGTTTAAGAAGAGTATGGGCCTATTAGAAGGGAGCAGTAATTTGAAATAAAGCTTGAATCCAGCCTAGTCTCCAGCCTGGGCCTTAGAGCTACTGGGAAAGCTGGAAATACAGCTCAAATCTGGCCTAGTCTCCAGCCTAGGCCCTACAGCAACTGGGAAAGTTGTTTCTCCATTAACTCCCATAAGATACAAAGAAGCTGAGGCATCAGCATCACCAATGGCAGCTACTGCAGAGGAACTTGCAGGTCCCACCACCTCAGCTCAGCCACCAGCACGTCATCAGTGCTTCGCACTGACATTGCAATGACAGCAGACAACAGCAATGATGCCCTTGCTAAGTAGGAGCAGCTGAGGTAATGACATTAATGGGCACCAAGGGACAGAACTGACGCTTTTCTTCCTAAGCAATGACCAGAGGCATTGCCACAGCAAAAGGAGGGAAAAAAAGGCCACTACTGTGACACTTCCAATTCTGGCCAAGATGGAGTAATAGGGACTGAAATTACCTGCCTGAAACAACCTAAAAAAATCTGATAAATTAGATGAAACTATTTTTCAAGACAGGGAACATCGGATAATGAAGGATAGATCCCTGAGGAATGAGAAACAAGATGAGCCTTACAATTATTCTAGCAATTGCATTGAAAGAGTTTCCAAGGGTATTAGTCCATTTTCACGCTGCTGTAAAGAATAGCTGAGACTGAATAATTTATAATCAAAAGAGGTTTAATTGACTCAGTTCTGCATGGAAGGCCTCAGGAAACTTACAATCATGGCAGAAGGCAAAGGGGAAGCAGATCACGTCTTACATGGTGGCAGGAGAGACAGTGTGCAGGGGGAAGTGCCAGGAGGAAAAAAAGGACACTACTGTGAGAACTTCTTCTCAGAGTTCAGGTGAGACATCTGGGACACCCGGAATTCTTTTCAAAGAATCTGAGGGCAGGTAGACTTCACCCAGAGCAGATGGTGGGAATACCAGGACAGGCCTGTCCCACAGCTGGTATCATTACCCTGTTCTCACATCCATGTCTGGGAAGCCTGAGCACCTCCTTGGTTTTCCACGTAGAGCTCCAGGATATATCCTTGAGGATTGCTGTTTTCCACTCAGGAATTTATTTGGGGGTTATCATTTTGATGATAATCTTTAAGAAAGTTAGATCTCTACTCACCATCTGGATGATCACATCATCATGAAATACCACTACATAATTCAGTGCTTGCATTTGTAATTCTGTTTCTGTTTGGGCTTGCATCAAAGAGAGGATAAAGACATAGCATAGATAAAGACATAGCATACTGCTAGAATGTAGATTTTGCAGTAGAAAAAGGAGTGGGAGAATTGAGCTAGTCAATGCCCGTGATGATAGAGGCATGCTGAACTAGCGCTGAGCTGTGAGTAGTGTATTCATGTATGTGGTGAACAGATACGTTACCCAGACCGCCTTGTTGTTCAGACCAGCTTGCAGTGAGGAGGAAATACACAATGGAAAATGTTCTGTTTCTGATTCACACCATAGTTAGTTACATTAGATTCCCATAAAGTGCAGGTTTCAAAAATTCCTCCAATGTAGCTTCATCTTTGAATATGTAAGGCAGCCTTATAAGGTCAGCAAATGGCAAATCAACAAAATTCGCATTTGAGGCTTGTTTACTGACAGAACTTTTTAAAATTGAATTTGAGTTCGCTTATCCTGAACTAGAAAACAAAACTTTTGAATTTTGCAATTTCTCATAGTATAATTGTCCTAAGACATACTCACTACAGTAGCTTTCTGAGGTCAAAATTCAGGAACAGAATTAAATGTAGAACTGGAGTCAAGCCTCCTACTTCTACTCCTAAACCTCATTTTGGTCATTTTGCTTATCAAAATAACATCTTCAGTCCCATTAAATTGCTATTATTAATTAAATAGTGTGCTTTTGTAAGTCTATATTAACTTTGAATTGTTTTGGTTCTATGGTTGTATAAGAAATAAAGGACTTTATACCTAGATTTATAGTTGTATACATTTCAGTAATATCATAATAAAATATAGCATTGAGAATCTGTAAGAATTTTTCCTTTTTATAAAAGGTCTATTTGCTTCTTAATTTTGAGAAATCCTTGATTCGCAAAATGAAGCACCACATATTCCACTACATATTGACCTAGATTTCTGCTATTGTTCAACAGCATAAATTACCTCAACACAATTGAAATTTATCCCCAGACTTCTTTAACCTGTAATTAAATCTTTTATTTTTTCTTTTGTGACAGAGTCTTGCTCTGTCACCCAGGCTGGAGTGCAGCAGCATGATCTCAGCTCACTGCAACCTCTGCCTCCTGGGTTCTAGTGATTCTCCTGCCCCAGCCTCCCGATTAGCTGGGATTACAGGTGTGCACCACCATGCCTGGCCAATGCTTTTTGTATTTTTAGTAGAGATGGGTTTTTGCTATGTTGGCCAAGCTGGTCAATTAAATCTTGAATATTCAGACTACCAAAGTCCAAGCCTCTTTCTCAAATGAGGCATGCCTTCTTTTACTGGGCACCTGACTGTTGTAAGTTCTGGGATGCCTGGAGCTGGCATGTTCTTGTTAGTTATTGCCCCCAGCCACAGTTGTTCCCAGAGCACTGGTGGATCCCATTATGAGGACTGGCCTGTTTTTCAAGTGTCCAAAGCTCAGTTAAGACAAGGCCCTGGAGTTTAACTGAAAAAACAAGGATAGTCCAAGAACAACAGAGAGTAACTGATATATTTTGGCTCTGCGTCCCTACCCAAATCTCATGTCATGTTGTGATTCCCAATATTGGAGGAGGGGCCTGGTGGGAGGTGATTGGATCATGGGGGTGGTTTCTAATGGTTTGGCACCATTCCCCTAGTGCTGTCCTGTGATAGGTTCTCATGAGACCTATCATGAAATAGGCACGTCATGTAGACGTGCCTGCTTCCCCTTCGCCTTCTGCCATGATTCTATGTTTCCTGAAGCCTCCCCAGAAGCAGAAGCCAGGATAGCCCGCAGAACTGTGAGTGGATTAAACCTCTTTTCTTTCTAAATTACCCAGTCTGAGGTATGCCTTTACAGCAGTGGGAGAATGGACTAATACAGTAACATAGTTAATACCACCAGAGGTTTCATTTAGGGCTTGCAGACCAATTCCTGACCTCTGAACTCCCACTCCCCTACCCCAGCTCTCTGACTTGTCCCTAGAAGCCCAGCCCAGCCCCCACTGAACTTCTCCAGGCCTCTCTCCACCTCACAGGCTTGGTCTCCAGCTTTCTTCCTATCACAGAATGACCCACAGTGCAAACTTCCGTCTCCTCCCGGGAAACTCCTGCCACTACCCAGATGGTGAGCTCTGCCCTCCAAATGCTGTCTTATCCAGTCTTAAATCACACTTCATGTGCTATCCCAACCACACGGCTCCCATCCATATTAAGGGGCAAAAAAAAGGCTCTAATTCTGCAAGGATATAGTCATCTTAAAAATACATTCCATTTATATTACAAAACTAAAGGTAATAAGAGGTCTGCAGCATCTACATCCGGGTTTATAATAGCTTCAATTTTCTCCAAGAAAAATAAAAGCACGTGTTTTATATTTGTGAAATTAACGTGCCCTTTTTGGTCCTTTCTACCCAAATATAGAAAATCTGCTCCAAAAGTGAATTACATTATATCTAAAATTTCTAAAATAATGACAACAATAATAATAATGAAAAACGAAGTGTCAGCTCTTTTGGATATTATAGTGAATAAGGAAAAGTTTTTTTAAATGCAAAAATAATATCAAACGTTCAAAATCTATTTGTATTTTGTGACAATATAATATAGCAGTGGAATCTATGAACCCTGATTCCAGGTCTAGAATCAGACTAGCTGGGATTTAAGATCCTGGCTCTCCTGTTGCCTAGCTGGGAAAATGACCTAAACTCACTGTGTTTTCCTATCCTCATCTGTAAAATGGGGTTGACAGTACTTCCCTCATAGGATTACTATGAAGATTTAAATATATAAGAGCTTAAAATATTGCCCAATGTATAATAGATACGCAGTACATGTGAACTGTGATGATCATAATGATGATGATAATGAAGACAGTGATGATGGTAGTGGCAGGATGGTGGTGATGATGGCTGGGTATCTGAAGGCAGTTAAAAAATATCCTAGAGAGAGTTCCAATTTGTGCTTCTCATTATCGTCATTGGTAATGAACATGAATAGTGGACATTGTCTCTTACTCTTCAGCGTCCTTTTATCCCCAATGTGGCTTGTGCCATTTAAAGTACAATGAGGGACTCAGAAGAGGCTATGGTTGAGCCAATAGAATCTTTCTGACTCTTCTTCCTTCTGTGGTGACAGTCACGTTATCAGGAACTCTAGTGAGCACAGTTCTTTTTGGTTCTTCATGCAGGTTTAGCAGGGCAGAGCAGTGTCAAGCTCAAGGTATGAGAGGAGAAGTCTGAGGAGGACCATCAGGCTGGGAGACTCCAGGTGACAGAAAGCTGGAGGGACTCTGAGGTGAGGGGGTCAGAGGGGAGGGTCTTCACATCATAAGGTGAGCAGCTGAAGAACTTCCCCCGGAACTCCCAGAAGATAAATCCTCCTGCTATGGTGCCCCCAAACTCCCTGGCTGTATGGGGTATTGTGGAAGTCCAGGCTCTGGGGGTCTGGCCTTGGCTGCATCTTCAGAGGGCTGTGAAGCTGTTAATCTTCTTATTCATCTCTCTGGACACTGCTGGTGGGAGGTGGGGATGAGATTTCCATTCTTGATCTCTGTCTCTTCTGCTTCCACTCCCCACCTTACCTCTAGGGATATTTTCTGATGTCAGCTCTCAGAATCAGGAAAGGAATCCCTAAATCAGAACTTCTCCTTGGGCCCCCATGATGTCACACCTCAGTGGACAAAAAATATATTCATGACAGGGTCACTAACCTGGTTACTCATTCAGTCAATGATATTTCATTAAGAAAGTTTGAAGTGGTTAACGTCATGAGTCCCCAAAAGAGCAAACTTAAGTGATCCTAAAGCATGTCACTGTATTCATTTATAATTATGAAAACAAAATACTGTGGCCAAAAATGCTTTGCGATTTTGAAGTAAAAGATGCCATCTAAGCACTTCTGAGTGCTCAAAATGTATCATTTATGTTAAAGAAATATGAATTAAATATAAATGATAGTTTTATGACAGTAGAACAATGGATGTGTTTTAAGAAGGAATGAATGACCAACATTTATTATTATTATTAATTTAATGTTTGCATGACGGCTTGCATATTTTTAAAACAAGTTATTTAGTATAAACATTAGGCAGTTTATATTTACTGTATTTACTGTTTGCTTCATCAACAGGTAGAAGGTCTTGAGTTTGCTTATGTTACTCTCAAAATGCTTTCAGGTAATTGTTGTCAAACAAGAGTTGACAGTTTGCATTTTCTTGATGATTACTAATGGTGGTATTTTTTCTTTTCTTTTTATTTTATTTATTTATTTATTTATTTATATATATTTTTTGAGATGGAGTCTCCCTCTGTCACCTAGGCTGGAGTGCAGCGGCACGATCTCAGCTCACAGCAACCTCTGTCTCCTGGGTTCAAGTGATTCTCCTGCCTCAGCCTCCTGAGTAGCTGGGATTACAGGTGCACACCTCCATGCCTGGCTAATTTTTTTTTATTTTTAGTAGAGACGGGGTTTCACCATGTTGGTCAGGCTGGTCTCGAACTTCTGACCTCATGATCTACCCGCCTTGGCCTCCCAAAGTGCTGGGATTACAGGTGTAAGGCACCACGCCTGGCCATGATGAGTATTTTTTCTAAGTGAAATAAACCAGGCACAGAAAGACAAATATCATATGTTTCATTCATATGTGGGAGCTAAAGACGTTGATCTCACAGAAGTAGAAAGTAAAATACAGGAGGCTGGGAAGGGTAGTGGGGAAGAGGGACAGGGAGACGTTGATTAACAAATACAAAAATATAGTTAGATAGGAGGAATAACTTCTAGTATCCCATAGTATAGCAGGGTGACTATAATTAATAATTTATTGTGTATTTCAAAATAGCTAGAAGAGAGGATTTGGAGTGTTCCCAATACAAAGAATTGATAAGTGGTTGAGGTGATAGATATGACAATTACCCTGATTTGATCATTACACATTATATGCATGTACTGAAATATTACATATTCCCTATAAATATGTACAATTATTATGTGTCAATTAAGAAAGAAAAAGAAAAAAAGGCTTATCTCCCAGTGATCACAGGGATGAGGAAAGAAAAACACAATTAAATTGAAAAAAAACAGAAAAAAGACTATGAAATTAACTTCTCAGCTCACATCTGTGTTGCATGATCATGAGATAGAAAACCATCTTCCCATCAGTGTTTTGGAGCACCCCTAAGGCCCCCCCATAACGTTCACAGGCCACCTCTCCCACCTTTCAGATACCCCACCTTGCCAGCCTTCAAGAGTTCACCCAAGCTCTTCAGGTTCTCATTGAAACACTCATATACTTTAGTGGAAAAAAAGGAAAATATGAGATGGGTCTCACCATTGGCTTTCATTTTCCTCTTCCTTCTCCTCCCTACCTTCTGGGTTGTGGCAGCTGTAATTGGGTTAAACTTTGTGTAATTCCGAAGCTATGCTCATAGAAAAAAATATGGAAATTCTCTAGCTCACCTACCAATGACCCAAGAAAAACTGGAAGCTACTATAGACTTTTTTTTCTTTTTCTAGTTTCTGGAACCCGGGGCTGATTCTTTTGAGATGCATAATTTAGTTGGAGCTAATTGATGAAGGAGTCAGTTCTTATTTTAAGAAACTGCCTTCAATCTCAAATAGAAATCTTGAGACCCAGTATGAAATTTCCATTTTCACATAGCATACTATAAAAAATTGTCTGTTATTAAAAATCAACTTATGTAAAGACAGTCAATCTATTCAGCTTATGGCTTTCTTTTTTTCTAATTTCAAACCAAAAGTGTTTTAATTCCCATAGAAAAGTATTAACAAACAATGGTGACTAACTTCATTCTTATAATTAGCCTTTTGTAGTTGCAAAATGTTTTCATATGCTTTGTTTTCTTATTTGGTCCCATGACAGTTCTTTAAGGTCACTGGGATCTGGACTCCCACTTCTATTTGACACCTGAGGAAACTGACCATCCAAAGCAAAGTAGGCTGCCTGAGATCATGTGGCTGTTAAGTGGTGGGTCTGGGATAGGGCTCATCTTTCAACCAAAAATAATTATTCTTAATTAATGGAGTACAATTTGCAGTGATTTGGTACTTGCTTTATAGACATACAAAGTTAATAAAGTCTCAGAAATTTCAGGATGCAGTGGGAACTCACCTTCGGAATGGGGTGGAAATGGGCTCAGACCTCAGACCTCCACGAATAGGTGGCTGTTTACAAACTCAGACCCATAATGCTTCCTCCCCTGAAGAAGAGGTTTCCTTTCCTGCTCCTACTGGGATATACTGGGAAATGACTGGCTCAGTCTCCCTCCTTTAGTTTTTAAAATCTGTATATGACAATCTTAGGCAGCAAAATATATTTCAGGTGGTGTGGTGGCTCATTCCTGTAATCTCAGCACTTTGGGAGGCCCAGGTGGGCAGATTACTTGAGGTCAGGAGTTCAAGACAAGCCTGGCCAACATGGTGAAACCCCGTCTCTACTAAAAATACAAAAATCAGCCAAGTGTGGTGGCGCATGTCTGTAATCCCAGCTACTTGGGAGGTTGAGGCAGGAGAATTTCTTGAACCTGGGAGGCGGAGGTTTCAGTGAGCCAAGATCACACCACTGCACTCCATCCTGGATGACAGATAGAGACTCCATCTCAAAAAAAAAAAAAGCTTCAGATCAAAGGCTGGGTTAGGTTATTTCCCAGACAAACAATAATGACAAATAACCTTGAAAAAGAAAGTATGTTGATATCTCTTGTTCATGATGTCAGAGCAAGAACAAAAGCCCTAGGGGCCAACACCCTGGCTTGCCCCCGGCTCTGCTGGTATTTGCAGAATGAACTCAGGCAACTCACTTTGCTGTGCCAATCCTGTTTCCTCACCTGTAAAATAGGGCTGTACCTTCCTATTCTATTGTATTCTTATAACTATTAAGTGAGATTTCAAGGGAAATAATACTGATAAGCAGAGTTGCCTAATTGATGCAGGTTCTCCCTGTACTTCACAGACTTCGCTCTTGAATATCTCTCATTGCCTCCAAAAGCCAAATACATAGTTGCTCTCTGCTGAAATGATGAGTTCCCTATGTTCTGCTCACCTTGCCTGAGGACACTTGCAGCTTTTCCTTCCCCTGATAGGCGGCCTCACCAGCCTATCACTGCAGGGGCACCTTTTCCTGGAGTGCACACAGCTGGAGATTAGCCAAACTTCAAAGAACAGAGTTGGCCTGAGTGTTAATTCATAACCCAGGACCCCCCTCAAGTGGGCTCTGTAACATGATGATTTTATTTATATTTCATTGAAGGCCAACAAGGAATATGAGTGTCATTTAAGCCTAGTCCAACTTAGAGGTCACTATTTCCTACATCCTCAGCTGCAAGTTTAGAAACCATATTGGATGGCAGCAAAAGAGTAGTTTCAACCTGGGCCTCGGTGAAATGTTGAAGAAGGAATTAGAGTCAGGAAGGTTGTCTTCTTTAAACTTTAAAAAGGCAGGAAACAATGGCCCTGCTCAGAGGAAAGATGGGTGCATTTAGTACGTCAAGGGCTTCCTTCCTATTGACCCAATTTTTCAAGTGTGTATCAATGTTTGATACTCCCAATAACACTGTGAGCTTTTCATCCCACCAACTACTTGCACATTCAATAAATAACTATTCAGCACCTCCTATATGCCAGGCACTGTGGTAAGTGTTGGTATGCAGTGTCCGACACTTAAAGAAAGGCACTTCAAGGTCTTTGAATTCAACTATTCAGTCTCTACTTGAATAGCTTTATTAAATCATTTTTTCATTCTCCAAAAATTAATCGTACATCATTAAAAACCTCCAACAAAGACCTATCCCTTTGGTGAAGAAGAGGCAGGTCTCTCTTTCTGGCTGCTCTGAAATGAGAAAGTCTTTCTTGTATAGAGCCCATGTAGGCCCCTGGTCCTAGCTCCACCCCTCTGGAGCCACAGAGAATAGGTTTAATCCCTCTCCATCTGCTATTCTTTCAAAACTGTGAAGACAGTTATCGCTTCTCCCTGAGTCTTTGCTTCTCAAAGCCAGCATTCCCAAATCTTTCTGCAGTACCACACACATCATGGTCCCCTCTTCGTTCTCATCACAGTCCTTCTAATCCCCAAGAATGGTGGACAAAGAGGAAGGAATGACTGTCTACGTTGGAAACCAGGCACGATAATAATACTCTGAAATTTCTGGCAAACACATGAAGGAGAATGGGCACAGCCAGGGTCTGAAGATATCTAACATATATCAAATGCCGAATTTGGAGCAAAGTAACCGAATATTAACTGCAAGGAGATGGAATAAAAATAGGAGCATTTAGACAGACCTTCAGGAAAGTTTCCCACCATGAGCCTGGACTCTGCCAAACTCCAAGCATTTGGAAAATAGCTTGAGATGTTCAGCAAGTCCCAAATGCAAGCATTTGGGGATGGTTTGCACTGTCTTAATTGTTCTTGTTTCCACTAGAGTAGCTTGACAAGGCACTCATTTGCGAATTTCTTCCAGATAAAGAGTGGTTTCTTATTCAATACAGTTAGAGCCTCTCCCCCTGCCCATTATTTTCCTCTTCTTTCTCTCCCCTTTTCTTTGTTGTTGGTGAAAGCTCTTCCCAGGAGACCACAGATTTCTCTCAATGAGGACTGTTTTCATTATCAGGTATGATGAGCATATTGAGGAAGTTGATTTATATCAGTTAGAAGTTTCTCTTTAAGAGAAGAAAGGTGATCATCTCTCTTCTTAAAGTAGCTGGCACTTGTGCTGCAAATGTATTAAACGTTTCCAGATTAAATTCCAGCAGAGTACAGTCTATCTTTGTACAGGGATATTGGACTACAGTGTTTAGACAGACCCCTGCTTTCTGCCATGGAAGAGAAGGTTCAGGTATAATGCACAGAGACTAAAGGCTGCAGCATCCCAAAGAGAAGTGCTGAGAACTGGCTGATACACCAGAGTCATCCAGAATGCCCTGGAGACTAAGGTGAGGAGGCTGCACTGAGCTAAGGTAGCACTCACCTTGCCAGGATCAAAAGGTAATATGCAGCAAAAAAGAGCAGACATTCAGTTTGGCCACGCCATGCTCTCAGGACATTTGTTCTGAACATACTAGTGGCAGAACACGAAGCCCAGTGGCAATGCTTCCACGTTACACAATCCCTATGAGACGAGAAAAGTTCTGGGGATACAGTTGGGAGATAGTGGGGAGGTCAATGATGGAAGACTGTTCTTTTCTTTTGACAAATTGGAGGTTGTTTTTAAGCAGAAAGAGGACAGTCCCAGATTTGCCAGTGCTCTTTATGCATATTGCTCACTCATGAAGAATTGAGATCCAAGTAAACTTAAAATCATCTTGTCCTTCAGCCTACTGATATTCGCAGGCTAACTCAATCACAGGACAGTCTATCAGACATTGTGGGCTGTCTACCCAATATCCCTTCTTGTATCATCTTTATAAGAGAACCCTGATTTTGTTATTGATGGGTGTAATTGACTTAATTTTATCAGTTTCCATGCTATACTTTTCAGCATTCCATGCAAGAAGGACTAGCTTTGGAGTACAGTTTTAGCTAACGAGGTATAAGCAGAAGTCTGTGCGGATTTCCAGTAAAGTTTTCTTTTTTCAGGTGAGGGTTGAAACAATCTTGCTCCCTTTCTTATCTTCCTGTTTTAAACATGACTGTGAGGCTAGAATTTAGCATCCATTTTGTGACAACGAAGATGATAGCCATGCGCAGAGATGGGGGATCAGAAAAATGGAAGGAGCCTGAGACTTGATGGGTCTCCAGCAGCAGACCTAGACTACCTCCTTCTGCATCCACCAGTCCCCTCACTCACCCACCCCACACATATACACTCACTTCTCCACCTCAGGAGATGCAACCATCATCTTCCCCAAAGCTTTAGGAGTCATCCTTGATTTTCCCCTTTCTCTTACCATCCCCTCTACTCTTGTATATTCCATCTATTACCAAATTCTATCAATTCTACCAGCAAAATAGATCTAAAATTCATCTCCTTTTCATGTCTGCTTCTGCTTCTGTAGTGAACTCTTTGACACCTGGAATGTTGCAAGAGTCTCTTACTGAGTCTCTCCACAAGGGCTTGGCTTCCTGCAATTACCTCTACACAGCAGCAGAAGTGTTTTCCCAAAACAGGCCTGATGGCATCAGTCCTCACTCCTCACTTAACACCCTTCTGGCTTTCCAATGCTTTGAGTTCCTCATGATAGCCCTGAGGCCCTGCATTGTAGGGAAAATAAAGAGAGATCACACTATTACTGTGTCTGTGTAGAAAAGGAAGACATAAGAAAGTCCATTTTGATCTGTACCCTGAACAATTGTTTTGCCTTGAGATGCTGTTAATCTGTAACTTTAGCCCCAACCTTGTGCTCACGGAAACATGCGTTGTATGGAATCAAGGTTTAAGGGATCTAGGACTGTGCAGGATGTGCCTTGGTAACAATATGTTTGCAGGCAGTCTGCTTGGTAAAAGTCATCACCATTCTCCATTCTCAATTAACCAGGGGCACAATGCACTGCAGAAAGCCGCAGGGACCTCTGCCAAGGAAAACCGGGTATTGTCCAAGGTTTCTCCCCATGTGATGGTCTGAAATATGGCCTCGTGGGATGAGAGACCTGACCATTCCCCAGCCTGACACTCATGAAGGGTCTGTGTTGAGGTGTATTAGTAAAAGAGGAAAGTCTCTTGCAGTTGAGTTAGAGGAAGGCCACTGTCTCCTGCCTGCCCCTGGGAACTGTATGTCTCGGTATAAAACCCGATTGTACATTTGTTCAATTCTAAGATAGGAGAACAAACACACTATGGTGGCAGGCGAGACATGTTGGCAGCAATGCTGCTTTGTTATTCTTTACTCCACTGAGATGTTTGGGTGGAAAGAAACATAAATCTGGCCTACGTGCACATCCAGGCATAGTACCTTCCCTTGAACTTATTTGTGACACAGATTCCTTTGCTCACATGTTTTCTTGCTGACCTTCTCCCAACTATCACCCTGTTCTCCTGCTGCATTCCCGTTGCTGAGATAGTGAAAATAATAATAACTGAGGGAACTCAGAGACCGGGGCCAGTGCAGGTCCTCCGTATGCTGAGTGCTGGTCTCCTGGGCCCACTGTTCTTTCTCTATACTTTGTCTCTGTGTCTTATTTCTTTTCTCAGTCTCTCGTCCCACCTGATGAGAATACCCACAGGTGTGGAAGGGCAGGCCACCCCTTCACTGCATGACCTGGCTCCTGGCCACCTCTCCAACTTCTCTCACCACCCTTCCATCTTCTTACAGTGGCTCAAAACCAGTCATTCTCACTCAAAATGTTCTTGCCTTCAGTTCAGCTCTATTTCATCCTTCAGGTCTTAGCTTAAGTATCATGAAAATTTTTCTGATCACCGTGTCTAGAGGAAATTACCCTGCTGTTGCTGTCAATCCTGACCCACTCCCTTCTTAACACTTTTACAACTTGCAATGATTGAATTGGCTTGCTTACCTGTAGTTATTTGGTTAAGGACAACAGACTCTACTAAGACAGGACCCGCATCTTTTTGTTATTTTTTCTTCCTAGTGCCTAGCCTACTGCCTGGGGCATAGTTAGAGCTCAGTAAATATTTGTGAAATTAATGCGAATGAATTTTATTTGGATATGATATGATGCAGTCTATGAAATTTTTCACTTGATAGAAGTATAATATGGAAATTTCTATTACAATATTTATTTTAAGCTATTGTTTAGAAATCATGTATAACGTATACTTTTAAGATCATTTATTTTTACTTTCTCACTTTTCAATTGATGCTTATGTCAGAAAACATAATTTGAGTCATGAATGCATATTAAAACGTAGATTGAAATTTAACTTTATGGCATCAAAATACTTTCCTGACCTTGAAATATCCTTTTTTCATAATATTCTTATAAAATACTTTCTGACCATGAAATATTATTTTTCATATAATTCTTACAAAAACTAGATTCCCTTAATATTTCTATTTCTAAATGGAAAGATCAGAAAGACTTTTTCAGATTGGAAAACAAATTCCAAAGAAACAACTTCTTTGGAAATGACACATGGATGTTGTAAATAAACTTATTTATGGGTAACAGCATGGTCTGTGGAATTAGAAAACCTGGATTCAGGCCGGGCATGGTGGCTGAGGCCTGCAATCCCAGCACTTCGGGAGGCTGAGATGGGCGGATCACAAGGTCAGGAGATCGAGACCATCCTGGCTAACATGGTGAAACCCCATCTCTACTAAAAATACAAAAAGTTAGCCAGGCATGGTGGTGAGCACCTGTAGTCCCAGCTACTTGGGAGGCTGAGGTAGTAGAATGGCATGAACCCAGGAGGCGGATGTTGCAGTGAGCCAAGATTGCACCACTGCACTCCAGCCTGGGCAACAGAGAAAGACTCCATCTCAAAAAAATTAAATAAAATAAAGAAAAAAAAAGAAAACCTGGATTCATATCCAGTTTTTGATAGTCATTTACTATATGTGTAACATAGAGCAAACTCTGTGCCTTAGTTTTGCCTTAACTTTCTCAGTGGTACTATCGGGATAGTAGTAACATCCATTGGAGAGTTGTGTAATGTTTCAATGAGAAAATGCACTGTAAACACGTGTCAAAGTACCTGGAATATAGCGAACACCACCTAATTTTAGATACTGTATGAGTTTCCTAGAACTGCCTTAATGAAGTACAACAGACTGGAGGCCTGAACAACAGAATTTAATTTTCTCACAGTTTGAAGGCCAGAAGGACTCGATCAAGGTGCCGACAGGCTTGGTTTCTCCTGAGGCCTCTCTCCTTGGCTTGTAGATAGCTGCCTGCTCCCTGTGTCCTCACATGGTCCTCCCTTCCTTCCCTCTGTACTTGTGCCTAAATTTCCTCTTTTATTTTTTGAGACACAGTCTCACTCTGTTGCCCAAGCTGGAGTGCACTGATGCAATCGTGGCTCACTGCAGCCTCTACTTCCCAGGCTCAAGTGATCCTCCCACCTCGTCCTCTCAAGTAGGTGTGACGGCAGGCATGCATCACCATGCCTGGCTATTTCTTTTTCTGTAGAGAAGTTTTGTCATGTTGCCCTGGCTAGTCTTGAACTCCTGGGCTTAAATGATCCTCCTGCCTTGTCTCCCAAAGTGCTGGGGCTATAGGTGTGAGTCACTGTGCCTAGCTTGCATTTCTTCTTATAAGGACACCAGTCCTATTGGATTAGGACCCACCTAATAACTTCACTTTAGTTTAATTACCTCTTTAAAAACCCTATCTTCAAATGTAGTCACATCGTGAGGTACTAGGGGTTAGGACTTCAGCATATTATTTTAGGGGACACAACTCAGCCGTTAACACCATTAATATCATTCCCCCAGATCGTGTGTAGAGTTTCTTTCTTCAACACCGGTTTTTGAAATCCTGCAGACTTTTTAATGAGAATTTGAAGAGATGAACATCATCACATCTGGTAACTGGCATATTGTGAGGGAAACTCGCAGGGTGCTTGTCTTTTTCATGCTCGTTATTGGCTTGTTTTTAACGTGAGTTTTCCTTATACTTCCTGATTTTAGCAAATAATTTACTAAGGTCTACTTAAATTGTGTGAGACTAAGAATAAACAGAACTGTAAACTGTGTATGATGGTCAGAACCACCCTGGAAGTGGACGGTGAGCTGAGCTGAGTGTGGGCGAAGGTGAAGCCGTAGCCATCCTTCTCTGATGCTCACCAGCCTGCACCCTCCAGAGATTCTCAACCTCTGTGTAGATACTCTGACCCATTCCAATAAAAGAGAAAGTACTTTAAAAGTTATATTGCCAATTTGTAAAAAGTAAAAGTGGAAACAGATCTTCAGACCCACCTTTAATGGTACAGGCACATTGAAACACCAACACCAAACTCTGAGGTTTTACTCTCCACCTTTGAGAGATGCAAATCTAAGCTAAGACTTCTCTCCAGCAACAGAATAACTCTTTGTAATATATACTTGAAAGTGAAGCATGGACAGTGTATTGAAATTCCTGGGCTTGAATCTTGCCATTTATTAGCTATTGGGTTGGTGCAAAAGTAATTGTGGTTTTTGGCATTAAAAGTAATGGAAGTTGGGGCAAAAACAGGTAATTAAAAGTAATATTTGATGGTAGGCACATCATTTACCCTCTCTGAGTCTCAGTTTCCTATACCATAAAATTGGGAAAATAATATATATTTCTCTTCTATCTCAATGAACTCTTATGAGGAGGAAGAGATATAATAAAGCACTTAGAAAACTATAATCAACCAAAATCAATACAATAGTCAATACAAATCAATGCTGATAGTGAACACTTATATGGTCCTTTCTCTGCTAGGTGCCATTCTAAGATTTTCATATGCATGGGTTCATTTGATCCTCAAAACAACTCTATGGAGTATGTACTGTCATTAGCCCTCATATGGCTGTTGAATTAGATACACAAATTTTCAGTTGGCTTTTAAATTCCTATATACTTGGGCTTCTCAGACTTCATTGTACATATGAGTCTTCTGGGGATCTTGTTGAAAAATGCAGAGTCTTATTTAGTAGATCTGGGGAGGGGCTAGAGATCTTGCATTTCTAACATGTTCTCAAGTTATCAGATTTAAAGATGAGTTGTATGCATTTTTCTTTTGCACACACAGAAAGCAAATATTCTAAATTTGCTGGTTCTGTGTTAAATAGCTGTCAATAACATGTACATTAGTGATGTGTGTGTGTCGGGGGGTGTTTGTATGTGTGTATTTAAACAATCTAACATTGAGTGTTTTCAGCACATGAAAAGATGCTCAATATCACTAGCCATCAGGGAAATGCAAATCAAAGCTACAGTGAGATACTACTTCACACCTATTAGGATGGCTATAATAAAAGAAAATAAAACAAGTGTTGGTGAGGATGTGGAGAAACTGGAACTCTCATACATTGCTGGGGAGATATAAAATGGTGCAGCTACTGTGGAAAACAGATTGGACATTCCCTAGTAAGTTAAACACAGAATTGCCATATGATTCAGCAATTCCACTTGTAGATATACACCCAAGAGAATTGCAAACATGTTCACACAAAACCTTATACATGAATATTCCTAATATCTATATTGCAATTGCCAAAAGATGAAAACCACTCAAATATTCATCAATTGATAAATAGATAAACAGAAGTGATATACCCCTACAATGGAAAATTAGCCATAAGAGAATGAAGTACTGATACATGCTACAACATATACAAACATTGAAAACATTATGCCATGTGAAAGAAGCCAGATACAATAGGCCGCATATTGTATGATTCTATCTACATGAAATGTCAACAATAGGCAAACTCATAAAACAGGCTGGGCATGGTGGCTCATGCCTGTTTTTATTTTTTAAAAACTACCGGTGTTTCTGATCAACTATTCCCTAATCCAAGGTCACAACTTACTCCTATATTTTCTCCTAAGAATTTTATAGTTTTAGCTCCTACTTTTAGGTCTATGATTCACTTTAAGTTTTGTATATGCGGTGAGATAGGTGTCCAACTTAATATTTTTGCAGCTGGATTACCAGTTGTCCCAGCCCATTTGTTGAGAAGACTATTCTTTCCACTTTGAATTGTCTTGGTACCCTTGTTATGATGGTTAAATATTATGTGTCACTTGGCTAGGCTATGGAACCCAGTCATTTGTGAAGGTATTTTGTAGATGTGATTTACATCTACAGTTGATTGACTTTAAGAAAAAGAGATAACCCTGCATAATGTGAGTCATCCTCATCCAATCAGTGAAGGCTTCAGAGCAAAAATGGAGGTTTCCCTGAGAAGAAGGAATTTTGCCTCAAGACAGTTATGCAGAAATTCTGTCTGTATTTTGCCTGCTTGCCTGCCCTACAATTTTCACACTCAAAACTGAAATATCAACTTTTGCCAACTTTGCATGCCTTTTCTTTCTTTTCTTGCCTAATTGCCCTGACCAGAACTTCCCATACAATGTCAAATATAAGTGGCAAGAGTGGATATGCCTGTCTTATTCCTGATCTTAGAGGAAAAGCTTTTAATCTCTTGTCATTACAAATGATTTAGCTGTGTTTCTTTTTGTAAATTCTCTTCATCAGGTTGAGGAATTTCCATCCTATTCCTAATTTTGTTAGTGTTTTTATAATGAAATGATGTTGGATTTTGTCAAATGCCCTTTCCACATGTATTGAAATAGTCATGTGGTTTTTGCCTCATTTTACTGAGTTAGTGTATAAGAGAGGTTGATTTTTATATGTTGAACCACTCGAGTTACTGGGATAAATTCCACTTGGTCATGGTATATAATTCTTTTTATATTTGCTAGAAACATACACACACCCTAAAAACCACTGTATTAAAATCAGTTAGCAATAAACCAACCAAATAAAAAAGAAACAAAATTAAAGTCCCTCAGATAACTTTGTAAATTGAGAGGTCTTTTAATTTTAAGAAATTATTAAGTTTGGAATGTTGTCAGATATAGTACATCTGAATTGACCAAAAATGACTAAGTCATTCTGATGAACCAAACTTTATTAGACAAGCAGGATTCAATGTGGCTTATAGAACATCTTTGAATTTATGCCATAATTTCAAATATTACATTCTTTCCCCATTACCTGCACTTCCATTTGCTGCCTCCAAATCCCTGTGGGGTAGGAGCTATTAGGGATAGTGCAGAGTTGATGGGCATGGCAAATACTCTGGATTACCCTAAAAATGCAGCATTTTAGGGAAGGTAAGTCCAGCAAGTAGAGGCAAGTGCGAGCCAGGCATTATGTGTGTCTGGTTAACTCAGCTGTAAATCACGCAGGCTTGTAGGCTGTGGGGTAAGAAAACCCTTAAATCACTCAATTTTTGGCCTTAAACCCAGCTACTTCAGCACAGAAATCATTGATCATTTTCACTTTGGATTACCAGTTGCTAATTAGTTTCCACAATTGTCTTAGATGTGCAATTGTATTCTTGTGGCATTTTTGGTAAGGAGTTCCATTTATTTGGAGTAGAATAGCTAAATGTACAGAGAAATGGAAGGCTGTTATAGAAATTTGGTCAAGTGTGAAGGACTTCAAAGTGCATGTAAAATTCACTTAATCTGTGCCTTTTAAATGTGTTTCAAAGGAGATGACTTCTCAACACTTCCATCTTTTCTCACTGTCCCCATTAGCATTATAGGTATCTCTGCCAAGAAGTCTTCCTTACTTCTGACCAGCCTTCTTCTCTTGTTCTATCATCAGTGGAGACGGAGAACAGCTGCTCTATTTTATGGCCTCACTGTTACTTTAATTTATATCTGCTGTAAACAGGATTGCTTAAAACTTAATAGAACATTTCAGTTAGGCATGTAGAAAGGACCCTCTGTCTCCCCCCAGTCCTTCCCAATAGATGTAGTTTATTGCCTTAATTTTTGATTTTGTTTCTGTTGTTTTTACCTTTTTTTGGTAAATAGCGTGATTTTATTTTTATGACAATATTCTTCCTAGGAATTCTCTGGGCATATGGTGTTTCAAAATCTTGCTAATTTAAAGACCCATTTCACAGACAGAGAAATGATTTTGATAAGATGATAAAATGAAAGTTTAAGGAATACCTCATGGTCTCAAAGTTGGCAAAGACTGAAGCATTGTTATTGCAGCTCCTCAGAAGTGATGTGGATGGAGCTCATAGATAAAGGGTCTGTAGCTAGATGTGTGTGTCTAACATTACTGCTGGTATTTTACACAAGTGAGAAATATCTAAGGGGAAAATCCTGGGATGAAGTGGAGTGCTTCTTTCCCTTCAGATGCCTTTCTACTTTGGCCAAAGAATGGAGAAGTCTTTTTTAAGAGCAGACTGGTAGCTTCTACCCACTGATGACACTGACCTGTGACCCAGAGAGCAAGGATTAAAAATGTAGAAATAGGCATATGATTTCTCAGAGAAAGTTGCTTAAAGCTTAAGCCATGGGGCTAAACTTTTTCCTGTCCTATGGATTTATGGCCTCACATGTGGATGGGAGAAATGCAACAGCAGATCACCACTGGGTGAACCAGCAACCTCTGCTGTGGGCTGCAACTACTTACCCTCTCAAGGATGCAAATGAGGTTACTCCCTTGTGTAATCATGTTTTCACTCCATCCCATTGCCTCCTTGGTGGACTTAGAGGAATTCCTTCACTGATACAGACAACCCCAAAGCTGACCAGGATTGTTTTCAGGGATTTTACAAATAGGGGAGAAGAGCTCAGAGGTAGGGATTTCAGTTTCCATTGTTAATTCAACATCCTTTCTTCCTGGAAGTGGAATCAATTACATATTCTCTAGCAGAATTAACTCTTTTTTAAAAAAATAGCAGGTGATCAGGATCTAGGGACCATTCTAAGGGATTTCTCTTTTCCATGATCAAATTCTTTAGAAACCATGGATTCTTCTGACAGTCTGTTATTTCACAAAGGAACTTTCTAAAAATTGGCCTACGTTGGTAGCAGATTTGCACTATTGTCAAAAACTACCCCCATATTCTGTGCTTAACTGTTTGGGTCCTAATCCAAGCTCTACCACTCCTATCTGTGACTTCGGGTAAATTACTTAACCTCCCTAGGCCTCAGAATAACAATATCTACCTACACGCACCTGAATCTCTTAGAGCAATGCAGCAGACAGTGAGTGCTTAAACTAACCTTGGCCATGATGACAATGGTGGTGGTGGTGGAGATGATGTGCTAGGTTCTTGACTAGTCTCTTTAGATATAAGCAAATCTTCACAAGTATCCATTTCCCTTTTACAGATGAAAGAGCAAGTCTCAGAGGGAATAAATAATCACCCTAAGGCCATAAAGCTAATAGGTGGCAGGGCAGACATTCAAGCCCTCGTCTTTCTAATCCTGCCTGGAGCTCTTTATTGCACCACCAGGTTTCTGGCCCAGACATCAGCAATATGCATTAGGAAAGTTCTTTATAATTTAGAATCATTTCACAAACATTACTTGTCATTGTTTAGCCTTTCATGAATCTATAGGTTTTGATTACCAGCATCACAATGAACAGAAGAGAACACGGGTTCAGATAGGATGAAGCTGGCTTGAGTTTACCCACCTAACAAGTGTGGACAGGACCTGGCTCAGCCTAGGTTAATCCACCTGTGGAATGAATGCTTTCTGTAGTCCACCCTGGCTTTCAGTATCCAATCTGAATTCCTTTCCTTGTCTATCAAGACTGCCATCTGTTCCCTCAATGCACGCTTTGGTTTTTTTATTAAAACTCTGGTCAGGAGTCCCTTCTCAGCTGGTCAGCTCACCAGGTGTTCTACTTGGATCCTCTGCCCTTGCTATGCTGTTTGCACATGGTCTTGGCAAGTTTTTCTTCATAACTGAACTTTGTGGAAGATCCTGTGACTGCCTAGGTCACGGGGCTGGGATTTGACCCAGCTGGATGCAGAGACCCTCCAAGCACTTCCCTACACTGCTGTGCTCTCAGAATCACTACTTCCTTAGCCCTGATGAAGTAACTTTTAGAAGGCCTGCTTAGTGGCTCTGAGCTTTCTACAGGAGAAAAGACCATTTCTGAGATAACCAGTATTTGACTGAAGTAGCAGTGGGTCTTAACAAGAGCTCCTTAAAGTTGTCTTCAAAGTAAGCCAATAATCAGACACAGCTGTTGGTGAGAACAGGTATAATGCATAATTGTCTCAGTTCTGAAGAAAACAGGTGGTTTACATGATTAGCTTAGAAACGAGTAGACTGGATTGTATTTGAATGTTGAAATTACAAAGTCAAGAGACTGTATCCTGTATCATAGAAGGGCAATACATTTTTATTGAGGATAGTTATCAAATCTTTATTGAGTACCATCTAAATGTTGTAAACTCTGCACTGGGCCCCATGGATATAGTGGTGAATAAGACAGACAAAATCCCTGTCTTTGTGAAGCTACATCCTACTAGAAGAGCTAGACTAAAAATAAATGCATAATATTATATTTGATAGTAGTAAATACTATTCTCCAGAAAAATAAAATGTGGTAAGGAGACAGAGATTGAGTGTGTGTCAGGGGTAAGTATCATGGTGACTGTTTTTATGGGAAATGGAAGTATCTCTGGGGAGATGATTTTAAAGGTAAGAAGGAGCTGGCAATGCAGAGATCTGGGGGAAAACATTCTGGATTGCAGGCGTAGTAAGAGGAAACCCCCTGAGCGGAAAGGAACTGGGTGTGTTCATTATATAGCAAGAAGGCATTCTATATGTTAAGTTCCCTTAAGAAAGTAGTGTAATTTCTCTGACTCTCATTTTCCTTACTTACATAAAACTCAGATGTCAACTGTGGCCTCTTCCACTCTCAAATTAGAGGAAATATTGCACTAATACATCTTCCCAACCAACACCCTCACTACAATCCTGTAGCCAATAAAAGTCTGACTGGGCAAGGTGACTCGCACCTGTAATCCCAGCATTTTGAGAGGCCCAAGCGGGCAGATAACTTGAGGTCAGGGGTTCAAGACCAGCCTGGTGAATGTGGTGAAGCCCTGTCTCTACTAAAAATACAAAAATTAGCTGGGTGTGGTAGTGTGCACCTGTAATCCCAGCTGCTTGGGAGGCTGAGGCAGGACAATTGTTTGAACCCAGGAGGCAGGTGAAGGTTGCAGTGAGCTGAGATCGCACCACTGCACTCTAGCCTGGTGACAGGGTGAGACTCCGTCTCAAAAAAAAAAAAAAAAGGCCAAAACCTCTGCCTCTCAAAGATTTCCCAGTTCCCAGTCCCATATATACAGTTTTGTCTCTTGAGGCTCTGACTGCGATGGGAAACCCAGACCCTTTTATAAGAACCACAGAAACCCCCTCCTGGGACTTGTGTGCATAGCAAATGAGCTGAAGATTTGGGGCTGAAGAGAGATCTGAGGGGAAAACAGACAGCCTGTACAGGAGGTACAGGGCTGACAGCTCCCTTACAGCAGTGCTAGGAATTCTTTGGCTGTTTCCCAGGGCTAGCCTCTAACTTTCTGGCTCCCTCTCCTCTTCTTTTATTTCTTCACCTTTTCCTTCCAATAACAAAACAATGACTTTCTCTCTTTTCTCCTGCCCCCATCTCTTTTGACATCACAAAATCTCAACCACCCCCAAAATATCTTTCAAAGTATTTTCTTGAACAAATACAGTGGCAGCCCTCAACATAATTCTGCAGCCAGTTTTAGTAAAAAAGGTATTTTTCACATCTTTGCATTTAAATTGCAGGCAATTATATTGGCTTTTTTGGGTGATTGGAAGGATGACACAACTCTGTACTGGGCCCCATGGATACAGTAGTGAATAAGACGGACAAAATCCCTGTCCTTGTGAAGCTACATCCTACTAGAAGAGCTAGACTAAAAATAAATGCATAATATTATATTTGGTAGTAGTAAATACTATTCTCCAGAAAAATAAAATGTGGTAAGGGGATAGAGACAGGAGATGGACAAGCTTTAGTGGCATTACTGGCATACAGTAAATATTTGATTAACAGAGGCGAGGATAAGTGTGGTGACTGTGGTGGTAGTGGTTCTTATCAACCCACTACTTGTTTGAGGCCAGACAATTTTGGAGCTTAACTTAGAGGAGCTAAAAAGACGAAGAACTAAGAAAGTTCTTGCCACAAAGAGGGAAAAAGAATATTGCGGGTACACTGAAAGGCAAAACGAAACAAAACAAACACAAAATTCTAGAGACTGGAAGTAGGTCAAAGAGAACGGGAAGAAAAGTGATAGATACAAAGCTATGAAACAGAAACTTAAATAAGCTTTATAAGAATTCATACCTAAGTCTGAAACCTGGTGGGTGAATGGCACTTATGATCTCTCCTACACTGCGGAATACAAATTTGCAGAATGCAGTTGAAAGAGCACAAAATGACTTCTGGTTAAGGATCATGGTGTATAGGCATTAATTCTTACCCTCCCCTTCTTCAAAAATCTCAAAAAGAACTAAAAACAAAAAAAATATTTTAGTTGCCTATGAAATAAGGATATGAATGCAATCTTAAACCAAAAACTATGCAGCAAACCTGCCAAATGCTGTGAAATCTGGACCAAAATGAGGAAGAACACTAAAAACTAACAACATATCCTCAGACCTTGGGCAAGAGGGACATTTCCCCAAAAGAAAGTGCGATTACCCTGAAATGCCATCCAGTGATTCTTCAAGGGAGATAAGATCCAGGGGCACTGGGGCCATGGCAGAAGAGGACTCTTCCTTTAGACTCAACATGATACCACAGAACATGACAGGCAGAAAAGCAGAGGAACCAGAGTGGTACCCGATTTTTATCCAATATTCATTCTCCTTGATGTGGGAATGACCAAGGCAGAGAAAGTGGAGGAAAATTGCATTTTCCAAATTATCAACCATTCCAATGACAGAAACTGAGGTGTGATATACAGTTCATGAATAAGGAAAAGAATAGATTTGGTGAGAGGCTATAGGAGGCAATATACTGTGTTCAAGTTTACTAACATTCCTCACTACTTCCCTTCCTCCATGGATGATTTTTCAGCAAGTATACAAGATGAATGACAATCTGAAAGAACCATCCCACATACATGCTTTGAAATGAGAGAGAAAATAAAGAAGAAAGAAATGTAGGACAAAGATAAAGAACTACAAAAGAAATCATCTAAGAAAACAAAGAGTTTGGGTAGAGTTCTCTATAATCTCAAAGAAATTATAGGAGATAAGTGTAAATAAAAAAATTACAGAAAAAAAAGCTATACTACAACCAGGAGCAGTGGCTCATGCCTGCAATCCCAGCACTTTGGGAGGCCAAGGCGGGTGGATCACAAGGTCTGGAGTTCGAGACCATCCTGATCAACATGGTGAAACGCCATCTCTACTTAAAATACAAAAAATGAGCTGGGCGTGGTGACATGTGCCTGTAGTCCCAGCTACTCGAGAGGCTGAGGCAGGTGAATTGCTTGAACCCAGGAGGCGGAGGTTACAGTGAGCCCATATCGTGCCACTACACTCCAGCTTGGCGACAGAGCAAGACTCTGTCAAAAAAAAAAAGCCATACTACAAGCAACCAAAGTTAGAATAAACCTAACTTAAAACAGACAGTACTTTTAGTAATTCATTCATTCATTCATTCATTCATTCATTCATTTAACTAATTAGTGAATACCCCCTCCATGCTTGGAGTGCTTCTAGATGCTGGGAACTCAGCAGTGTCTAAGTCAACATCTCTGCCTTCATGGAGCTTACTATCCAGGGTGGATGGGGGATAGTAAAAAGTAAAGAATAAATTTTGATAGTGCTATTAAAACAAGTAAAACAGAACAACATAATAGAGTATGAAAACAATTGGGTGACCATGAAAATCTCTCTCACTGCAGGATATTTTATCTGAAACCTGTATAACATCATGAACGATTCAGGCCTGCAAATATCTGGAGAGACATTCTATATACATATTATCATAAAAAAAGATTATAAGGAAAAAGACATGAATGATAGGTAAGGAATATTCAACAAATATATAATTGGTGTTTGCAAAGAAGAAATGAACCAAAGAAACAGAAAATATGTTCAAAAAATAGGAAAAACAATCCCAGAACAAATGCTTAAATCTGCAGATTGAGAGAATAATGCTGTAATGAAAACTTATTTGAGTGATCAATACCAGTACATAAAAATAGTATGGATAACCAGCCCTAAATCTAGGCTGGTCTCATGGCTTGCTTTGACCCATAGCATGTGGTGAAAATTATTTCATGGCAGCCCTGAGCTTACAGCCCGAAGAGGCCTTGCATACTTTCAGTCCTTTCTCACAGCCCTGCTACCGTTATGTGAAGAAGCCTGGGCCATCCTGCTGGAGTATGAGAGATCACAGGGCCAAGTCACCCCCACTGTCCCTGCCAAGAGATAACCAACTACCACATGAATGAGGTGATTCTAGGCCAGCCAGGCTCCAGTTGACCCATGGCCTAACTCATTCACCCAAGATCAGCCAAGCCATATCAGCAGGACCACCCCTACAGACCTGCAGGTCTGCAGCTATGATTAATGGTGTTTGTTTTCAGCCACAGTGTTTTGAGGGTGATTTATAAGTCAACACAAGCTAAGTATGATGAGTGTCTAAATGTTTTTCATAATCTTTTTCTTGGCTTTAGAGAGATGATAGAAAATAATGTCTTCTGTGAAGAAAGGTTTACCTGAAATCCAGCGTATCCAATTATATTTTAGTTTCTTTTTCTTCTGTTAAAGGAAACTTACATTTAATACCTTTTATTTAAAATCACATTTCATATGTCTAATTTCTACTTTTATTACAAAAATGGATTCTATTTCATCAAAATTCTACCTTTTTATTTTTTAAACTGTATGGATGTATAAAGAGATGTACAGGACAACTTTTATCCAATGTTAATAGTTGCTCTTTCATTGTTCTTTTCATTCACAATAGCTGCTCTTCAGCAAGAGTTTGTATAATTTTTCTGTGGTTCTTTGTAGTTTTCTGTGTGGCTTGAATTTATTGTAATGGGTATGTATCAACTTTGTAAAAACAGTTGAGTCATTCTTTTAAAAGAGCTCGACAGACAGAAAGGAAGTGCTCAGAAAAGGCTGGGAGCATGTTGAAAGGATATAAGAACAACATGGGATCCTGGATTTGCTCCTGTGTCAGAAAATGGACATTAGTGGAAAAACTTGCAAAATTTGAATAAGATCTTTGATTATTAGAATTGGGTTAATGTTAAAGCAGATTTCATCATTGTACTGTAGTGGGTCATGAAAGATGCTCATAATAGAAGTTGAGTGAAGAGTGAAAGGGAACTCTATACTATTTTGGCAACTGAATCTAAAATTATTTCAAAATATAGTTGAAAAGGAATAAGACTGTACTTAATTGTATAAATAAGAAGTCCCACTTTCATCTATCTTACTTTTGAAATGGAAAACCTATCATTCTTTGTTAAAGAAAGGGGAAACAGTTAAAAGATAGCCAGTAACTAATGCACATAGTAAATAAAAATTGATATTAAGTATAAGCTGACTTTGATTCATAGCTTTAGAGTTCCAGGATATTCTGGGAAAGAAATTTGCTGATGTAAATGTATAATGTCAGCAATATACTATCACTGCTGTTATTAATATTTTGATAACGTTTGGTCTGTCAAGGACCAAAGCAATTCTGTACAAGCAGTTTGTATACATTTTACACTTCTAAAGTAATTATTAATATATTTTCATTTTAATTTAAAGATTGTTATTTACTTTGACCAGAGGAATAATTTAGGAATCAGAACAGTAGTTTACATCTCCAAGTTAGCAAAATGTGACAGATACATAATCTGTATTGGAAGTGATTTAAGCCTGGTATTTGTGATGCATCAAAGGAAAGCCCATTTGGTCTAGCTTGAAATACTTTCCTTAGATGAGGAGTACTCTGCTTTTTATCAGTTATATTATTCTTCACATCCATTTTGGTTCCAGGACTAAATGACATCCATGCCACACCATGTATCAAAACACTCTATAATGCATTTTTAAAAACCTCTAATACATTCTGATTGTTTTATAAAGGAGCTATCTTTTAAAAGAACAGACCAGGTTCATGGCAGAGAAGTTCTCTGGTGTATTCTGAAGCAAATAGAAAGAAAACAACAAAAATCTTAGAAACTCGTAACTGACAAAAATCAACTGCATTTGTTTTAGTTTGGAAACAGCACCAGTTTATTTCTTCTAAAAGAGCAAGAATTCACAGCAAGAATATTATTTTTGTTTACAAGAGTTGTGTCTGAACCCTCTAAAATATGACTGTCAAGTCAAATGTCAAGAATGTTAATTAGTGAAAGGAAGGGGAGGAGTTGACGGGAGGCAGGCCGTCAGCACCAGCTCACTGTGTAAACAGAGCTGTGTCTTGAATTCCACAGCAATGGCATGGAGGCATTCTATGAAAAGAGGAGATAATAGATGATGAAGTATCTAGCAAAAAAGAAATGAAAAGCTGCTGTCTAAATACTGTTTATCAAACAAATGTACTCTGATTGTAACCTGCCTAAAACTGAGCTTCAGTTTGTTTAGCTCACCAACGTGCGAGTGTGTGTATTCACTATTTGAATTTTATTTCAGTTCTTCTCATTGAGGTCATTCTTTGTTTGAATTATTTCATGCCCTCTGTTCAGAGGATCTCTCCAAAGTAGATTACAAGATTCAGAGATATTTTTTAAGTCCATTGATGACTTCTCCAATTCTAAATATTCTACTGTTTAACCATCGGCCCATTAGCCCAGGCAAAAAACAGGGAAGAAAGATACACCCACATTAAAAACCAACAGGTTTCTTATTTCCTCAATGCTCCTGTGTCTTACCCTATTTAGAAATCACATGTTATATGCAAATAAATGTGGATAGATTTGACAATTATGTTATTATTTCATTTTTCTTTTAGACCTAGAGTTTAACCAAAACCATCGCTTCCATGCAACATCACCCCAATTTCAACAGAGTGGGACTTGGCAGACAAGTTTTAATTATAGTCCTAGCATCTATCTTGTGTCCATCAATATCATGGTTAACTTGGAAGTTAAAGAGGCATTTTGCAACATCACAGGTCACTTCTCAACTCATTTAAAATTAATCCCAGTTAAAATATAAAACACAAATCAAACAGGCCATCTTTCATATTCATTTTGTAGGTGCACTGTCAGAATTATAAATCAGCTTTGCCTAAGGAGTAAAATGAAACACACCCAAATGTAGTATTTTTAGGAAAAAATGTCTGGAAATGAGTGCATGTGTTACTATGAATTTTTGTTAAAGGTAAGCAAAACTCTCTAATATGCTAAAATTTATTGACTGTACAAAAATCTCCTCCACAGATGCAATTATTCACATACTCATGAGTCAAATATTTAGTGCATGCCTTGAGAATACACCACAAATCAACTGCTTCTCTGCCCTTCTTCCCCACTCTCCAAAATCTACCTCCTACCTCCAACCCCAGACTCACATGGAATTGCCAATAGCTTGATTGGATAAGCATGGACATCAGAGAAAACTCTGATACATTTTTGACACTTGCTAATAAAAGTATGTTGGGTGTTGTTTTTCTTTCTACCTAAGGATGTTCCACCCATCATGGAGGGAAAATGGGGCTAAGAGAAGCCTGCCTCAGCTGGTAGGGTCATATCCACTCACAGATGTTAGGGAGTCTCCATGACAATGAGGACTTGAGGTGGGGAAGAAGAGACCCAGATGTCCGCTTTGCCTTCTATTCAAAAGCCAAGTGTCTGATTTTTCAAGTCTAGGGCTTTAAAACAAAAATCTCATTTGCAACATACAGTCAGCAGCAGGGTGCAAAGCTCAGGACCTACCCCAAGGGGTAAGCAGCACTGTAGCCTCTGAGACCACCGTGCCACCTGGCTGTGTGTTCAGATGTCATCCCTCCCCTCAGCATGGCCAGGCTGACCACCAGACCGGCTGAAAGTCAGGATGTTCATAGAATTTATTATCTGAACTGGATATTTTTGAAAGAGATCACTATTAATAATCATGCCAGGTCAACAGGCATGAGTGGAGCATGCCCCAGAAAGACTTGGACACATGGCCATACCTGTATTTTTCTGTTTAGCAATTTGCAATTACTGCACACTTGAAGCATGTGTACCTTCCCTGAGGCTCCATCTCCAGGGTTATACTGCTTGGAAATGTATTTTGGGGAAAAACAAACTTGTTGAAGAAAATGTCCTCACAAATGTTTAGCAATAACTCTAGGGGAAGTCACATTCCCACTTATCTTGCCCATTGTGGTTAGAGGAGATTCTAGAATTAGAAAAGAAACAAAAAAATGAAAGACCTGCTCTAAGGGCTTAATTTTGCCCTTCAGGAAACAAACATACAGAGTGGCCCATGGGTTCTTTAAAAATGTTCCCCATCAATTTTCCACCTCCTGTTCCTTCAGCTGCCTCTATCTTATTTCACTTTTTGAAAAAAGTTGTTTTATTTCTGGCCTAGAAACTTTGGTACAGTTCGTCAATATCAGGAAGTCCATTAGGTGAGATTGCATATTATCCTTGCCAGAGCACGGCTGGCTGTCCAGCAGACATCATTTTATGTTTTTGTCTTTCTTTATTTGAAATACCTTTGATGTATCATCTCAGACAAAAAATGTAGTCGTTCAACAGCTCAGGGAAGAAGGTCTGAGCTTGCCACAGGAGGAGACAGGGCTAGGGCTGGGGAGTTGGGGGGAGTATAAACAAAGTAGAGGATTGGGCAGAGCTACAAGAAATATTTAGCATTCCTGGCTTCCCACAAAGGGTAGATCAAGGAGAGGGAATGAGCAGTTGGGATGGAGCGTACACTACAACTATTCTTTTTTGGGCCTAATCCAGTCCACTGTGACACATAAAAGTCCCCAGTGGGCAGACCTCGAGTTTATTGTATTGTGTGGCAAATGTTGAGTAATTACACAGGATGCCTGTCTATATGCAGGACGGGGTCAAACTCTGTGGCAAAGACACAGCTGCTGGTTTCGTGGCTGTGTGACAAATCCACTTTTGCTAACAATCGTCAAAGCCATATTCATAACACTTTGTGTTTAAGGGATTGAGCACTAAAAGTCCGCTTCCACAGGCCCCTGTCAAAACAAAGTCCACTTCTTTACAGTGTGCCCACAGGCGGTCTGTGTCAAAAACCTGATGTCAGCTTTTTGGAGTGGGATCTTGGAAGAGGAGCCATGTTCACTGTTGTTCACCTGGATAGTGAATTGAAGATGGGGCTCTCTTTTCTTGAAACTCTCGGTGGGCGGGGGGGAAAGAAACGCACCTTAGCATCCAAAATAAAGACAACCACACATACACCAAAACGGAAACAGCCATTTCGTTTTAAAAAGATCTGGTCATTGACAGGCTTTCTTTCTGCCCCACCACTATGGTCTTCTCGGGTTAATTCATCTCCTGCTACTGCAGGATCTATAAAATACTGTATTGAGACGACTTCACTAGGTTTCCAGCAGTGGGATTTTCTAGCTACTGGAAATACCCAAGGCCAGTGTAAACTCATTTGTTTTTCTTAATTTGAGCCTTAATTGCAGAGCCTGCTTGTTGCTGGATGCTAATCCCCTCAAGCCCTTCTGAGGCAAACACTCTAGGAGAGGATGTGGACAGAAGTACCCATGGAAAATGGGACACCGTGACAAAGGGGTCAGCAGGTGAACAAACGTCACATATAACTCCTCTGTGTCATGTGGATGAGCAGGTTCCAGCTGATGAAAGTGAGAAGGTGCCTCCCATTGCAGGGCCCTAGCAACATAATTCTGTTCAGAATGTTCTTAATACAGAAGTGCCTATATTAGTCAGTGTTCTCCAGAGAAAATGAACTACTGGGAGAGAGAGATATTATAAGGAATTGGCTCACACAATTACAGAGGCTGGCAAAGCCCAAGATTTGTAGGGTGAGTTGACAAGCTGGAGACCCAGGAGAGCCAATGGTGTAGTTACAGTATGAAGACTGGCAGGCTTGAGGTACAGGTACACTTCAAGTCCAAAGGCAGCAAACAATTAATTTTTCCTTCTAGTTCAAAGGTCATCAGGCAGAATGGTTTCTATTTTGTTTAGAGGAGGGTCAGCCTTTTTGCTCATTTGGACCTTCATCTGATTGGATAGGGTCCACCTACATATAGTGGGCAATCTGCTTTCTTCAGTCTACTGATTCAAATGTTAAATATCATCCAAAAATATCCTCACATAAACATCCAGTATAATATTTGACAAAATATTTTTGCACCATGTGACCCAGGCAAGTGGACACATAAAAAATAATCATGGCAGCACCTGGCCATGAAATGATAAAACTGAGCTTCAAATCTAGCTCTGTCTGACTCCAAAACCCGTATCCTTTCTAACACTATAGTGACCGATTTTGTTCTCAGGAAACTTAATTGTTCTTAAGGAGGTAAGATTTATAAACATTAAAAACTCTACATAAGAAAGGTATGTGAGGCCGTGTGCAGTGGCTCACATCTGTAATCCCAGCACTTTGGGAGGCCGAGATGTGTGGATCACCTGAGGTCAGGAGTTTGACACCCTCCTGGCCAACATGGAGAAACCCCATCTCTACTAAAATTACAAAAACAAGCCGGACGTGGTGTCAGAGGCCTGTAATCCCAGCTACTCGGGAAGCTAAGGCAGGAGAATCACTTGAACCCGGGAGGTGGAGGTTACAGTGAGCCAAGATCGTGCCATTGCACTACAGCCTGGGTGACAAGAACGAGACTTCATCTCAAAAACAAAGGTTACATTATGATAAATGATCAACCATATTCATCAGATAATTGACCCATCTGCTGTAAAGTGTGAATCATGTGTACACCCAAGTTTTATTCCCAGTGGTGTAAATGTCCTTTTTTCACTATTTCTTGAGTAGGATACCAAATGTAACACACACTGGAGTGTCTTTCAGCTCCACAGGGAAGCTGGAACTCAGAGGGGTCTAGACCTTCCAGGCAAGTCCTTGGCTCAGCTCAGGAAGTCTAGCCATCTGCCAATGCCATGTGATATGGATTGGCTGTGTCCCCACCCAAATCTCATCTTGAATTGACCTGGTAGCAAGTAACTGAATCATGGGGGCGAGCTTTTCCCATGCTATTCTCGTGAAAGTTAATAAGTCTCATGAGATCTGATGGTTTTATAAAGGGCAGTTCCCTCCACACGCTCTGTTGCCTGCTGCGTTGTAAGATGTGCCTTTGCTCCTCCTTCACCTTCCATCATGATTGTGAGGCCTCCCCAGCCACGTGGAACTGTAAGTTTGTTAAACCTCTTTCCTTTATAAATTACCTAGTCTCAGGTATGTCTTTATTAGCAGCATGAGAATGGACTCATACATCATGCTACATACTTGGTGACAGCAGTGATGGGGACAGTGCCCAGAATTGCTTCCCCATGACAGCTAGCAAGGGTTGTGATGCTTTACAATTACTGTCAGCCCAGAATTAACTTCCATTCCATAGACATTCATGGGTGCCTGCTATAATACATAAAAAGCACAATATTGAAACAGGCTGGGGCCAAGGGAGACAAAGACCCAGTCTCTGCCTTCTGAGTGCTTGCAATAGAAGGGGATAAGAAACACGGCTGTGTAAGAGAGATGCCAGATGATAGATACATGCAGTATACTCTGGCAGTTCCCAATGGGAGTGATATCACTGCACCCTATGGAGAGCTGAGCAGAGGAGACATTTGACGTAGGCCTGGGAGTACGTGTAGGAGTCCAGCAGATGGGGTAGGGAGGGGAAAAGAGGAGCAAATGCACAAAAGAGGAGAAGCAGAGGATTTGTCTAAACAGCAATGACTCATGCAGTTTGTCTGAATTATAGAATATATTAGAGGGAGTAGCAGGAATGAGACCTATTTTCTGGGCTTGCACTTCACCCTAAACCCCAGTCATCTGTAAGATTAATCTCTTTTGGCTCATCCTCCTGAGCAGGAGCAGACAACCCCAGGCAACAGGCAACACTTCCCCAGCAGTCAGGCTGCTGAACTGCTCTCCCATGAAGCAGGGGCCACTGTGTCCTCCTCACTCAGGAACTCAGCCTGGTTTATGAGAACAAACCTCGTTGGCCTGGGCAGCTGGTCTGATCCCCTTCCTGAACTCCTGCTCTCTCTGTCCTACCCCGCCACCCAGGACAGCCTCTCTGTCCTGAAGCTGAGACCTTCTGAACAGAAGGCTGGGTCAGCTCTGCTTGCAGCCAGAAGACACTGAGAAGGCTACCACTTATAGGGGCCCTTGTCCTCTCAGGTCCCCAGTGCTCCTAGGGTGGGCAGCCAGCACTGTTTTCCATCTGATTCCAAGCAATGGCTAAGGCTGGTGGCTACCTATCCTTTAAGCTGTAAGATGTTTGCCCTTGGGATGTCATTTGAGTGTCAGTCTGAGGTTTAAAATAAAACAAAACAAATTCTGTTTCACTGCATCTTTAATTGTTGACTTCTGGGTAAGTATCTTCTAATGATGTGCTAGGCACAATCACCCGTTGGCCAAACTCCATGAACAGAAGTTGGCATGTTAGAATCCTGCGTCAGCTCTTCCCTCATCTCACTGCCTGGGAAAATGTCTCGTTTTACTCCCGGCCCCAACTTCTCAGCTCTGACGCCTGCTGTTCATCAAAACTGACTGGAGCGTTGCTAGAAATGCAGAGGCTGGGGTCCACCCCAGACTTGATGAATCCTAATCCTCAGGCTGAGAACATAGGCCTGAGGGCTTTTATTTTTTATATATCTCCCGAGGTGATTATTATACACAGCCAGGGTAGAAACCCCTGCCTTAGGCAAATGCCTTTAAATTTTTTTTTGCATTCACATTCTCTATTCATTGCCTCCTGGAATTTCAAGCGTTAGGAAGGATCTTGGAGATCAACTAGTCTAGCACTTTCTAAACTCATGGTAGTGAGAACCAGCGTAGAAGCTGGGGATACAGTGGGCAGTCCTTCCCGGGCTTATACGACACAGGACCATCTGCACTTAGAGTAGAGATTAGCATCCCACTGCTGGAGGGACACAGGTGGGAAGTGCTGGCCTAGCTCACCCCTGTATGATGATACAGACTCTGGACCTCCTGCTTCATTCCCCTCTGCCTGTGCTGCTTCTGGCTGACCCTACACCCCCGGCTTGGGGTAGAGATGACACCTGCAAACACATGAGACACGGGTGGGAAAACCATGTTCTAGAAGTGTGTGAAATGATGCAGGCAGTGGCCCAGGTGACTTGGCCTTTTTCTCAGTATTGCTTTGAGACCGTGCCGTCATAAAATATCTTAGAATCACTGAAGAAAGGAGGCCTTTTTTTCAAGGATTTTTTTTTATAAATAAGAAATTCTAGATCTTGGGACTTGGAAATCAAGAATCCTCGACTTCCACCCCAGCTTGAACACAGGTTCTTTGTTGCATTCTGAGGGAGCTTAGAACAGGAATCAACCTCCGACCCCAGGGGCTGTCAAGGCTGAGTTCCTAGAAACGTGTAGCCAGGACTAGATGCTGGTAGCAGGAGGGAGGATGGGCAGCCGGCACGTGCGAGACAAAAGTGGGGAGCAAGAGGAGGCTGGGAGGGGTGTGGACAGATTGAGACTGCCTTGGCCCTTCCCTGCAGAGTTCAGGCTGCACGTGGCCCACCTGGCACCTGACACTCCATATGGCATAAATTAAATGGACTCTTCAGCTAACCATCTAAGGACTATACAGTTATCTGCTTTACACTTTCAGGAAATCTAGCCTGGTGACTTGTTCAGACAGATTGTTCATTATTGCATGAATAATGACGGACTAAAAATGACACAGCAGGGAACTTTATCTTCAGAGGAAAACTGCTCTTACCCACTTTCCTAAGGAAATCTGCCTCTGTTCTAGGATGAAGACCTCTCTGGCGAGTTGGGGCTGACACCCATTTCTCATCAGCTCATCAGAGATACAGAGCTGGTCTAGGAGTCCTCCCCCGGCCTCCCCACCACACACATACTTAATCCATTTATTTTCAGATCCTTGCCCAGAAATCTCCAGGAACCCTGACCAGGCCTTGCATCCCCAAGTCCGAAAATTTTGCAGCAAAAATCCATTCTAACTTGAAGCTTTTAATAGCAAATAAGTGATCCAGGCTCCAAATGGTCCAGGCCAGGCCACCCCACATAGAACTGTGAATATCACAATAGGTGATTGTTTTAAAGTGTGTTAATGAGTCTCAAAACATCCTACATAATATCAGCCTCCACTTCGGTCTTCTTGACAGGCTCCAGTAAATAACATGAGTTGACAGGAATAAAACAGCTTGCTCAGGAGTAATTGAGTGGAATTGGAATGAACAGACAAGAAAGAAAAATTGGCGCTTGGGTCACAAGGAACTTTTTGTTAGAAACATTCTGGGGGATTTGGTGGGATGTGGTCCCGCTGACTAATCACCAGTATAGAAAGTTTGCAATCTCTCCACCATGACAACGTCTTTAATAACTTGAAAACACAAGAGGTGGCTGTTAATTTCAAAGACAGTTATATGAAGCTTTTATTGAGTGTGGTGCAGAGTATATAGTTAGCAGCCTGAAAGATAATGAACCCTTTAAATAAGGCTTTCAAAATAACAGTTTTATTTTTGCTTAAGCCAAAAGAACAGTGATTTTCTTCTGGTTATTTTAAGGCAGAAAAATGTATGTGAAGTACAATCTCTCCATTACACACACAATCAACCACTTTTGTCATCAAGGGCATCTGTCCTTGATGCCACAGTACCGTGACTATTCAGGTAGAATAAGGGTTGATATCGTCATGACACTCCTTTCCCAAGGAAAGAGCAGATTGGGCAAGGAAGGAGTTAAATGTGGTGGCACCACCCTCATTTTCTTGTGGAAACTGGGGCTTCTCTCCTCACCCCTGGCTGATGATGCCATGAAGAGGTAGAGCCCCCTCGTGCATGTAATGTCATGATGTGGTGAAACCAGAGATGAAACCAGTGAGTTCTTGAGATACAGAGAAAGAGAAACAACCAGGACAAGGGCAGGACTTCACATGATTCTGCAGGGGGTATTCTGTGGGCCAGAGACCAGGTGTGAGGAGCAAAGTGGGTACAGATGGGCTTTCTGGTCTGGAGCCTTCTGATCATGGCCTGCTCTTACGTTTTCATGCGGCATTCCAGGAACAGAGGAAATGGGCTCTTGATGGACCTGGAACTTCTGAGCTATGGTGACAGGGATGGGTCCTCCCTCTTGCCCTCAGGCAGTCACCTATGATTCTGACCCATGAAATACCTTATGGATCTATCATTCTCCCTATCCTCCTCCACTGTCTTCCTTCTCCCCTAGTGTGTATATATGTATACGTGTGTGGAGAGATTAAGATAGATTTGTCTTGCCAACCTTCAAAGCCATCAATCGTTTACTCATTCTGTCATCGTTGTGTTGGGTGTTGGTTAAGCACTGTGTTGAAAGCTGAGGATACAAATGTGAGACAGTCAGACGTGACACCCTCTGACCCCGAAGCAACTGGGCCAGACCCACGTGGGTCTGGCCAGCAGCAGGCAGATGCCACCACAGCAGGGAAGATGCCTTCACCCCACATCCCTGTGAGTCACAACAGTGGCTTCAGCTGTGGCACCACCCCCACCCGCCACCGGGCGGAAGCTCAATGGGACCCAATCCTACTGGCCAATGAGTCAAAACAAAATAACAACAACAAAAACAAAAACAGGTCTTTTCTGAGCCAGTCCTGTGATGAAAGAGAACAATGTAAACAGAGAGATTCGTTAAAGAAAAATGATTTATTTCTGGCCTCAGTCCTGGCAACAAACATTGTATTTCTAATTACCTAAATCAGTCTTGTTGGCAACATGCGTTCTGGTTTCACTCTGAATTTTTTTAAGACACATATCTGCCCTTCATATAATATGGGGAGTTTAGTGTTTTCTCAGAATCGGCCTGAAAGACACATCAAGTTTTACCTCTTTCTAGGTGTCAGTGCTAGATAGCCAAGGGAAAAACCCTTATAGAAGTTTTCAGGATCAGGTAAGCCCTCGGCAGAAACTCAAAGCCTCACATGTCTCTGGCAGTCAGGAACGTGATGGAATCAGCATCGTCAATGGGAGTCTGGAATGTCAAGGAAGACAATGGAATGGAGAGGAATGGAGGAGTGTGGAATGGAGGAGAATGGAGTGTAGTGTAGTGTAGTGGAGTGGAGTGGAATGGAACGGAATGGAGTGGAGTGGAGTAGAGTGGAATGGAATGGAGAAGAGTGCAATGAAATGGAGTGAAGCGGTGTGGAGTGGGATGGAATGGATTGCAGTGGATGGGAGTGGAATGGAAAGGAGTGGAATGCAATGGAATGGACTGGAATAAAATGGAGTGGAACGTAAAGAAATGCAGTGGAATGAAATGGAGTGGAGTGGAGTAAAATGGAGCAAAGTAGAGTGGAGTGCAGAGGAGAGCAGTGGAGTGGAGTGTTGTGGATTGGAATGGAATGGAGTGGAATGGAATGCAGTGGATTGGAATGGATGGAGTGCAGAGGAGTGGAGTGGAGAGGAATGGAATGCCATGGAGTGGAGTGGAATGGAGTGGACAGGAGGGGAATGGATTGGAGTGGAAAGGAATGTACTGGAGTGGAGTGGAATGGAATGGGGTGGAGTGAAATGGAATGGAGTGGAATGGATTAGAGTGGAGTGGAGTGGAATGGAATGGAATGCAATGCAAAGAGGTGTAATGGAATGGAATGGAATAGAATGCAATGCAATGGAGTGGAATGCAATGGAATGGAATGGAATGGAATGGAAGGGAATGGAGAAAAATAGAATGGAATGGAGGGGAATGGAATGGAATGGAGTGGAGTAGAACAGAGTGGAATGAAGGGCAATGGGGAGGAATGGAGGGGAATGGAGTGGAGTGGAATGGAAAGGAGTGGAAGGGAATGGAGGGTAAAGGAATGGAATGGATTGGAAAGGAGTGGTGTGGAATAGAGTAGAGTGGAGTGGAATGGAGTGGAGTAGAGTGGAGTGGAGTAGAATGCAGTGGATTGGAGTGGAGTGGAGTGGAATGGACAGGAAAGGAGGGGAGAGGACAGGAATGGAGTGGAGTGGAATGGAATGGAGAGGGATGTAATGGAGTGGAGTGGAGTGGAATGGAATGGAGTGGAGTGGAGAGGTGTGGAATAGAATGGAATGGAGTGGAGTGGAGTGGAAGGGAAGGGAATGGAGTGGAGTGGAATGGAGGGGAGTGGAATGGAAAGTAGTGGAATGGAATGGAATGGAGTGGAATGGAATGGAGGGGAGTAAAGTGGAAGATAGTGGAATGGCATGGAGTAGAATGCAATGAATTGGAATGGAATGGAGTGGAAATGAGTGGAATTTGTGGAGTGGAATAGAATTGAATGGAGTGGAGAGGAAAAGAGTGGAGAGGAAAAGAATGGAGTGGACTGGAAAAGAATGGAGTGGAGTGGAGTGGAAAGGAATGGAGTGGAGTGGAGTGGAAAGAAATGGAGTGGAATGGAGAGGAATGGAGTGAAATGGACTGGAATGGAATGGAGTGGAATGCAACGGAATGGAGTGTAATGGAATGGAGTGGAGTGTAATGGAGTGGAATGGAATGGAGTGGACTGGAATGTAATGTAATAGAATGGAATGGAGTGGAGTGGAATGGACTGGAGTGGAATGGAATGGACTGGAATGGAATGCAGTGGAACGGAATGGAAAGGAGTGGCATGGAATGGAGTGTAATGGAGTGGAATGTAGTGGAGTGGAATGGAATGCAGTGGAATGGAATGGAATGGAGTGTAATGGAGTGGAATGCAGTGGAGTGGAATGGAATGCAGTGGAATGGAATGGAATGGAAAGTGGCGGAGTGGAGTGGAGTAGAGTGGGGAAGAATGGAATGGAATGGAGTGCAATCGAATGGAGAGGAATGGAATGGAATGGAATGCAATGGAGTGGAATGCAGTGGAGTGCAGTGTAATGGAGAGGAATGGAGTGGAGTGGAATGGAGCGCAGTGGAATGGAATGGAGTGGAGTGCAGAGGACGGGAGTGGAGTGGAATGGAATCAACTGGAGTGGAGTGCAGAGGAATGGAGTGGAAAGGAGGGGAATGGAGTGAAGTGGAATGGAAAGGAGTGGAATGGATTGGACTGGAGTGGAGTGGACTGGAATTGAATGGAATGGAGTGGAATGGAATGGAATGCAATGGCGTGGAATGGAATGGAGAGGAATGGAGCGGAAAGGAGTAGAGAGGAGTGGAGTGCAATGGAATGGAATGGAAAGGAATGGAATTGAATGGAATGGAATGGAATGGAGTGGAGTGGAATGTAGTGGAAGGGAGTGCAGTGGAAAAAAATGGAGTGGAATGGAGTTGAGTGGAATGGAGTGGAATGGAATTGAGAGTAAAGGAATGGAATGGAGTAGAATGGAGTGGTGTGGAATGGGGTGGAATGGAGGGGAATGGAGTGGAGACGAGTGGAGTAGAATGCATTGGATTGGAGAGGAGTGTAGAGGAGTGGAATGGATAGGAAAGGAGTGGAGAGGAGGGGAATAGAGTGGAGAGGAATGGAATGAAGATGAGTGAAATTGAATGGAGTGGAGAGAAGTGGAGTGGAGGTGAGTGGAGTGGAATGGAATGGAATGGAGTGGAGTGGAATGGAATTGAGTGGAGTGGAGCAGAGTGTAGTGGAGTGGAATTGAATGGAGTGGAGTGCAATGGAATGGAGTGGAGTGGAATGGAATGGAGTGGAATGGAATGGAATCCAATGAAGTGGAGTGGAATGCAGTGGAACCGAATGGAATGGAATGGAATGCAACGTAATCCAATTGAATGGAATGGAATGGTATGAAATGGAAAGGAGTGGAAACGAGGGGAAAGAAGAGGACTGGAACAGAAAGGAGTGGAATATAAAGGAATGGAGTGGAGTGGAGAGGACTGGAAGGGAGTGGAGTGGAGTGGAATGTAATGGAGTTTAGTGGAATGAAATGGAATGGAGTGCAGTGGAGTGGAATGGAGTGGAGTGGAATGGAATGGAGTGGAGAAGAATGTAATTGAGTGGAGTGGAGTGGAATGGAACGGAATGTGGTGGAAATGAATGGAATGGAATGGAATGGAGTGGAGCGGAGTGGACTGGAATGGAATTGAGTGGAATGGAGAGGACTGGAGTGCCGTGGAGTGTAGTGGAGTGGGGTGGAATGGAAGGGAATGGAATGCAGTGGAGAGGAAAGGAGGTAAGTGGAATTGAGTGGAGTGGAGGGGAATGGAGTGGGATGGAATGCAGTGGAATGGAATGGATTTCAATGCAATAGAGTGTAGTGGAGTTCAGTAGAATGGAGTGGAGTGGAGTGAAATGGTATACAATGTAGTGGAATGGAGTGGAATGGAATGAAGTGGAGTGGAATGGAAAGGAGTGGAGCGAAATTGATTGGGGTGGAATGGAATGGAGGGGAGTGGAATGGAATGGAATGGAGTTTAGTGTAGTGGAATGGAGTGGAGTGCAATGGAATGGACTGCAGTGGAATGGAATGGGTGGAGTGGAATGGTATGGAATGGAGTGGAAATAAATGCAGCTGAGTGGAATGGAATGGAGTGTAATGGAAGGGAGGGGAAAAGAATGGAATGCAGTGGAATGGAATAGAGTGGAGTCTAATAGAATGGAGTGGAGTGGAATGGAGTTTAGTGGAGTGGAGTGGTGTGTATTGGAATGGAGTGGAATGGAATGGAGTGGAATGCAGTGGAATGGAATGGAATGGAGTGGAGTGGAGCGGAATGCAGTGGAGTGGAATCGAATGGAGAGGAGTGGAATTGAATCAAGTAGAGTTGAGTGGAATGGAGTGGAATGAAATGGAATGGAGTGCCGTGGATTGGATTGGAGTGGAATGGAGTGGAGTGAAACGGAATGGATTGGAGAGAAATAGAATGGAGTGGAGTGGAGCGGAGTGGAATTGAACGAAGTGGAGTGGAGTGGAATGGAATGTACTGGCGTGGAATGGATTGTAGTGGAATGGAGTGAAGTGGAATGGAATTGGGAGGAATGGAAAGGAATGGAATGGAGTGGTATGGAATGGAGAGTAATGGAGTGGAATAAAGTGGAATGGAATAGGTTGCAATGGGATTGAATGGAGTGGAGTGGAATGGAGTGGAATGGAATGGAATACGATGGAATGGAATTAAAAGGAGTAGAGTGAAGTGGAAAGGAATGGAGTGAAAAGGAATGGGAAGGAGGGGAATTGAATGGAGTTTAGTGGAGTGGAGTGGAGTGCAGAGGAATGGAGCGGAATGGAATGGATTGGAGTGGAGTGGAGAGGACTGGAATTTAATGGAATGAAGGGAATCGAGTGGAATGGAGTGGATTGGAATGGACTGAAATGGAATGCAATGCAGCGGAATAGAATAGAGTGGTATGGAAAGGATAGGAATGGAGTGGAATGGAATAGGTTGGAATGGGATTGAATGGAGTGGAGTGGAATGCAGTGGAATGGCATGGAATGGAATGGAATGGTGTGGAATGGAATTAAGTGGAGTGGAGTCAAATGGAATGGAGTGGAGTGGAATGGAATGGGAAGGAGTGGAATTGAATGGAGTTTAGTGGAGTGGAGTGGAGTGGAGAGGAATGGAGTGGAGTGCAGTGGAGTGGACTGGAATGGAATGGAGTGGAATGGAATAGAGAAATGGAGTGGAATGGAGTGGAGCGGAGTGGAATGGAGGGGAGTGGAGTGGACTGAAGCGGAATGCAATGGAGTGGAATGGAATGGATAGGTGTTGAGTGGAATGGAATGAAGTGCAGAGGAGTTGACAGAAGTGTAGTGTAGTGGAGTATGGAGGGGTAAAATGGAATGTAGTGGAGTGGAAAGAAGTGAAAGGGAGTGGAGTGGAGTGGAATGGAGTGGAGAGGATTTGAGTGGAATGGAATGAAATGGAATGGAGCAGAATGGAATGGAATGGAGTGGAGAGGAATGGAGTGTAATGGATTGGAGTGGAGTAGACAGGATTGGAGTGGAGTGAAGTTGAGTGGACTGCAGGGGAGTGGAATGGAATGGAATGAAGTTGAGTGGAGTGAAGCGGACGGGAGTAGAGTGTGGTGGAGTGGACTGGAGTGGAGTGGAGTGTAATAGAAAGGAATGGAATGGAAAGGGGTGGAGTGGAATGAAATGTAGTTGAGAGAAATAAAATGGAATGGAGTGGAGTGGAGTGGAATAGAGTGGAGAGGAATTGAATGGAGCATACTGGAATGCAAAGGAGTGGAATGCAGAGGAGTCAAGAGGAACAGAGTGCAGTGAAGTGGAATGCATTGGAATGGAGTGGAATGAAATGGAACAGAGTGGAATGGAATGGAGTGGAGTGGGGTGAAATTGAATGGAGTGGAGTTTAATAGAATGGAGTGAAGTGCAATGAAATTTAGTTGAGTGGAATGGAATGGAGTGGAGTGGAGTGGAATGGAGGGTAGTGGAATGGAATTGAGTGGATTGGAGTGGAGTGGAGTTTAGTGGAATGGAATGGAATGGAATGGAGTGGAGTGGAGTGGAATGGAGTGGAGTGGAGTGGAATAGATTGGCGTGGATTGGAATGCAATTGAGTGGAGTGCAGTTGAATGGAACGGAATGGAGTGGAAATGAGTGGAATGGAATGGAATGGAGAGGAGTGGAGTGGATTGCAATGGAATTGAGTGGAATGGAGCGGAAAGGAGTGCAGTTGAGCATAGTGGAGTGGATTGGAATGGAATGGAATGGAGTGGAGTGGAGTGGAAGGTAGTGGGGTGGAATGGAGTGGAGTGGAGGGGAATGGAGTGGGATGGAACTGAGTGGAATGGAATGGAGTGCAATGGAATAGAGTGGAGTGGAGTAGAGTGGAGTGAAGTGGAGTGAAAGAGAATAGAATGAAGTGCAATGGAGTAGAATGGAAAGGAGTAGAGTGGAATGGAAAAGAGTGAAGTGGAGTGAAATTGGAGTGGAATGGAATGGAGTGGAGTGGAATGTAATATAATGGAGTGGAGTGGAGCAGAATGGAGTGGAGTGGAATGGAATGTATTCACGTGGAATGTAATGGGTGGAAGGGAGTGGAATGGAAAGGAGTGGAGTGGAATGGAGTGGCAAAAAATGCCGCTGAGTGGAATGGAATGGAGTGGCGTGGAGTGGAGTGGAGTGGAGTGGAATGGAGTGGAGTGAAATGGAATGGAGTGGAGTGGAATGGAGTGGAGAGTAATGGAGAGGAATGGAGTGGATTAGAATGGAATGAAGTGAAGTCGAGTGGAATGGAGTATAATGGTGTGGAATGGATTTGAGTGGAATGGAGTGGAGTGGAATGGAATGGCGTGGAATGGAATGGAAAGGAATGGAGTGGAAGGGAATGGAATGGAATGGAATGGAACGGAGTGGAAGGGAATGGAATGGAATGGAATGGAGAGGAATGGAGTGGAATAGAGTGCAGTGGAGTAGAAAGGAGAGGAATGCAATGGATTGGACTAGAATGGAGTGGAGTGGAGCGGAATGGAGTGGAGTGGAATGTAGTGGAGTGGAATGGATTGGAGTGGAATTGAAAGGAGTGGAGTGGAGTGCAATGAAGTAGAGTGGAATGCATTGGAGTGCAGTGGAGTGGAGTGGAACGGAATGGCATGGAATGGAGTGAAATGGAGTGGAGTGGATTGGAATGGAGTGGAGTGGGATTGTATGGAATGTAGTGGAGTGCCATGGAATGGAATGGAATGGAATGGAGGTGAATGGAGTGAACTGGAGTAGAAAAGAGAGGAATGCAAAGGAGTGGAGTGGAATGGAGTGGACTGGAGAGGAATGGATTGGAGTGGAATATAGTGTAGTGGAAAGGATTGGAGTGGAATGGAATGGAGTGGAGTGGAGTGGAATGAAGTGGGGTGGAGAGGAGTGAATTAGAGTGGAATGGAGGGGTGTGCAGTGGAGTGGAGTGAAATGGAATGGGGTGGGGTGTAGTGGAATAGAATGGAGTGGATTGTAATGGAGGGGAGTAGGATTGTATGGAACGGAGTGGAGTGGAATGGAAAGCAATTGAATGGAATAGAATGGAATGGATTAGAATGGAATGGAATGGAATCCAATGGAATGGAGTGGAATCGTGTGGAAGAAATGGAGTGGAATGGAGGGGAATGGAGTGGATTGGAATGGAAAGGAGTGTAATGGAATGAAATAGAGTGGAGTGCATTGGAGTAGAATGGAATGGAATGGAGTGAAGTGGAGTGTAGTGGAATGAAATGGAATGGAGTGGAATGGATTCGAATGTAGTGGAGTGGAGTTGAAAGAAGTGGAGTGGAATGGTATGGAATGAAGTGGAATGAAATGGAATAGAGTGGAGTGGAATGCAACAGAGTTCAGTGGAAATGATTGGAATGGCATGGAGTTGAGTGGAATGGAATAGAGTGGAATGGAATGGAGTGGAATGAAATGGAATGTAGTGGAATTTAATGGAGTGGAGTGGTGTGGAGTAGAATAGAATGTAATGCAGTGGCATGGAGTGGAGGGCAGTGGAGTGGTGTGGAATGGAGTGGAGTGGAATGGAATGGAGTGGAGAAGAATGAAACGGGCTAGAGAGGAGTGGAATGGAGGGGATTGGAGTGGAATGGAGTGGAACTGAATGGAGTGCAGTGGAGTGGAAAAGAGTGCAGTGGAGTAGCGAGGTGTGGAGCGGAACGGATTGGAGTGGAGTGGAATGGAGTGGAGTGGATTGGAATGGAGGGTAGTGGATTGGAATGGAATGCAATGGATTGCACTGGAATGCAATGGAGTGGAATGCAGTGGAGTGGAGAACAGTGGAATGGAGTAGAGTGGAATGGAAAGTGGTGGAGTGGAATGGGATGGAGTGGAATGGGATGGAGTGGAATGGACTGGAGTGGAATGCAATGGAATACAGTGAAATGGAGTGGATTGGAGTTCAGTGGAATCTAGTGGAGTGGAGTTGAATGGAGTGGAGTGAAATGGAATGGAGTGGAAAGGAATGTAATGGATGGGAGAGGAATGAAATATAATGGAGGGTGGTGGAATAGAATGGAAGAGAAAGGAATGGAATGGAATGGAATGGAATGTAGTGGAATGGAATGGAAAGGAGTTGAATGGAATGGAGTGGAAAGGTATGAAATCGAATGGAGTGGAATGGAGGGGAGTGAAATGCAGTGGAATGGAAAGGATTGGAATCTATTGGAATGTAGTGGAGTGGAGTGGAGTGGACTGGAATGCAATAGAGTGGAGTGGAATGCAATAGATTGGAGTGGAGTGGACTGGAATGGTGTGGAGGGGAATGGAGTGGAGTGGAATGGAATGAAGTGGAGTGGAATGTAATGGACGGGAGTGGAGTGGAAAAAAATGGAGTGGAGGGCAAATTACCGGAATAGAAAGTTGTTGAGTGGAATGGAATGGAGTGGAAAGGAATGGAGAGGAATGAAATGGAATGCAGTGGAATCGAATGGAATGGAGTGGAATAGAATGATGTCGTGTTGAATGGAGTGGAGTGGAATGCAGTGGAATGGAATGGAGTGGTGTGGAATGGAGTTTAGTGTAACAGAATGTAGAGCAGTGGAATATAATGGAGTGAACTGGAGAGAAGTGGAGTGGAATGGAGTAGAATGGAGTGGTGCGGAGTTTGGGGAGTGGACTTCAGTGGAATGGAATGCAGTGGAGTGGAATGAAGTGGAGTTGAGTGGAGTGAATTGAGTGCAGTGGAGTGGAATGGAGTTGAGTGGAATAGAGTGGAGTGGAGTGGAGTGGAATGGAGTGCAGTGTATTGGATGGGAGTGGAGTGCGGTGTAGTGGAATGCAATGGAGTGGAGTAGAGTGGAATGGTGTGGAGTGGAATGGTGTGGAGTGGAATGGAATGGGGTGGTATGGAATGGAGTGGAATGAGTGGAGTGGAATGGAATGGATTGGAGTGGAATAGAAGAGAGTGGAATAGAATGGAGTGATATGGAGTAGAGTGGAGTGGAATAAAATGGCGTTGAATGGGATTGAATGGAGTGGAGAGCAGTGGAATGGATTAGAGCGGAATGGACTTAGAAGGATTGGAATTGAATGGAGTGGAGTGGAATGGAATGAAATACAATGGAATGGAATTCAATGGAAAGGAATAGAATGGAATGGAATGGAATGGAATGGAATGGAATGGAATGGAATGGAGTGGAAAGAAAAGGAGTGGTTTGGAGCAGAATGGAGAGGATTGGAATGGAGTGGAGTGGAACGGAGAGTAGTGGAATGAATTGGAGTGGAGAAGATTGGATTGGAGTGAAGTGGATTGGAGTGGAATGAAACGGAGTGGAGGAGAATGGAATTGAGCGGAGTGGAATGGAATAGAGTGGAGTGGAATGCAGTGGAATGGACTGGAGTGAAATGGAATGGAATGGAACCGAATGGAATGGAGAGGAATCGAGTTGAATGCAGGGGAGTGGAGTAAGGTGGAATTTAGTGGAATGGAATGCAATCGAATGGAATGGAATGTAGTGGAACGGAATGCAACAGTTAAATGAAATGTGAGCTGAGATTCTACATTGCACTCCACCGTGGATGTCACAATGAGATCCTGTTGAAATCATGCAATGTAATGCAATGGATTTAGAATCTACTAAAATGGAATGGAGTGGAGTGGCGTAGAGTGGATTGTACTGGAGTGGAATGGATTGGTTTGGATTGTTATGAAATGGAATGAAATGGAGTGAAGTGGAGTGGAATGGAATGGAATGGAGTAGAATAGAATGGAAAGGAATAGAGTAGAATGGAGTGGAATTAAGTGCAATGGAATGCAGTGAAATGGATTGGAATGGAGTGTAGAGGAATGGAAAGGAGTGGAATGGAACGGAGTGCAATGGAATGAATTTGAGTGGATTGCAGTGGAGTTGAGTGCAGTGGAATGGAATGGAATAGAGTTCAGTGGAGTGGAATGTAGTGGAGTGGAATGGAATGGGAAGGAATGGTATTGAATGGAGTGTAGTGTAGTGCAGTGTAGTGGAGTGGAGTGGAGTGGAATGGAATAGAATGGAATATAAATGTTAAACGAAATGTGAGCTTGGACTGTGCACTGCACTCCAACGTGGCTGAAAGATTGAGAACCTGTTGAAAGAAAGGAGTGGAAAGGAACGGATTTAGAATGTAATAGAGACGAGTGGATAAGGTGGGCCTGGAGTGGAGTGGACTGGAGTGGAAAGAGTCGTTTAGACTGATGGAATGGAATGGAATGGAATGGAGTGGAGTGGAATGGAGTGGAGTGGGGTTGAGTGGAATGGAACGGAGTGGAATGAAGTGGAATGGAATAGAATGGAATTGAAATGGAATGGAATGGAATGGAATGGAATGGAATGGAATGGAGTGGAGTGGATTGAAAAGGAAAGGAATGGAAGGGAATGGAATAGAATGAAATGGAGTGAAATGGAATGGAATGGAATGGAGAGGAATGGAGTGGAGTGGAGTGGAGGGAATGGAGTGGAATAGAGTGGAGGGGAGTGGAGTGGAGTGGAGGGAATGGAGTGGAATAGAGTGGAGGGGAGTGGAGTGGAGTGAAATGGAATGGAATGGA